>NC_000013.11:84216050-84368891 GCF_000001405.40 Homo sapiens | reverse complement strand
ATTCTCTTTGATACTTTTGTTGATTACTGGGCAGTTATTTTGTAGAATGTTTCTCAATATGGGTTTGCCTGTTTTTTCCCATAATTAGATTAATATTATGCATTTTTGGCAAGACTCCATGTTGTCATTCTCATATATTATGTTGGGCATTCAAGATATCCATATGCCTTATTACTTATGGTGTTCCTTGATAACTTGGTTCAGCTGATAGCTTTCAGTTTTCTCTAAATTGATTTTTAAAGTTTGTAACCGATAAACATCTTCAGATAAGTATTTGAGATTACTCTAATATCCTCTTTCTTCCCAAATTTTGTTTCCTTAAATGACTTATCATTTCTTGAATTTCTTCTATGCATTAACTTAAATTTTTAAAGATGGATCTCTTCTTTTTTATATATTTATTGATTAAATTACTCATGTCTATATGTGCTTGTAAATGTTTATTGTATGTTATAATCCAATACTTTTCTTGTTCAAATTTTCTAGGTTATGGTCATTGAACACTTAGTCAGGTTGGCTGACTTTTTTTGGCCTAAGTCTATCATTTACTCATTAAGTTCTTTATTTCCTAAATCCACAAAAACATTTCAGGTTCATTGTATATTTTTAAGTAGTTTTTATTCAAAATTAATAAAAAAAGAAATCAGCTATTCAATATTATTTTTGGTCAATATAAAAATGACATAATAAAACAGAAATTTCACTTTTTGATTTATCACGGTAGCCAGAAATGGTTAAAATCCACGAGATTAAGTGATAAATAATTCAAGGAGAGTCAAGGACAGTAGTCAAAAAATACTTGAAGAATGAAAACAGAAAATAGATACTAATCTAAGCCAGCAATTATTTGGTGGTTTATTCTTTTATAAGGTCAAATGTTTGTTAATTCATTTCCATAAACACATATAAATTACCCATTATATTTAACACACTGAACTTCATACAGTAAAAGCCATTTTTCCTCAGAAAGTTTACAATCATTTTCAGGATGATAACTGTATGTGTATGTTCATCAGTCATTTAGTATCTATTCAAAGAGTTGTCATGTTAATTGTGGGGACCCCAAAGGGAATAAGAAATGTGTAAATTCATATATATACATATATATGTATATGTATATATATATATACATATATATGTATATGTATATATATATATACACATATATATTTTTTGAGACAGTGTCTCACTCTTTCGCCCAGGCTGGAGAGTAGTGGTGCGATATCTGGGCTCACTGCGATCTCTACCTCCCAAGTTAAAGTGATTCTCCTGCCTCAGCCTCCCAAGTAGCTGGGATTACAGGTTTGAGCCACGATGCCTGGCTAATTTTTGTATTTTTTGGTAGAGACAGAGTTTCACCATGTTGGCCAGGCTGATCCCAAACTTCTAAGCTGAAGTGATCCATCTGCCTCAGCCTCCCAAAGTGTTGGGATTACAGGCATGAGCCACCATGCCTAGACCCAAACTCATAATTTTAATAACATGGTATTACTGTGACAGAAATATAATAATGATATTATGGGACACAGAAATAATCGTTAAGTACACCTAATGAAAACAGGAATGACTGTTTTAAAAGGCAGCCTACAGTTAGTGCTATACGAAAATTACAAAATCATATGGGAGTTCAGAAAAAGTAGAGTGTCTCTTCAATTGGGAGGAGTCAGGGAAGGCAATTTAGACAAATAACCATTATAAATATTGGTACGAGTCCTTCTCAATACAGTGGCTACTGGGAGGTATTGAGGAAAGAATGGCAGGCAATGATAAGAAGTTAACAGATTTTGTAAGCAGGTCATATCCACATCAGGCTAAACTATCAGACTGGAACTATAGTATAGATGATTCTTAAAATCAAGCTGTGACATTTGATTTACTTGGTAGGCAACGGAAAAACACTGAATTTTTTTAGCACTAAGTGATATGCTTAAAGTTTATTTTACAGACAGTTGCATGGATGTGAGAAATGGATTTTCTAAATGTTGGGGATTCTAGCAAGATGTCAAAATTAATATATGGTAAAGATACCTTTTGCTTATTAAATTAAGAATGATTTCATGATCATCCACCGAATGATAAAAACTAGGATAATGAATAAGACTTCATTTGTATCCTCAAGGAATTTAGTGTAAGAGCCATGAAGTAAACACATTGTTTTAATCATAGAGGTATGCTAAGAATTCTGTACTCTGCCATAATAAACAAAAAGCAAGAATGCCTGACCCAGGTGGAAAGCAGATTGAGAGTAGGACATTGGCTCTGAATATGAAGAACCGCTAGTAGTTTTGAAGTTGGAGGGACCATACAGGAAAAGTATATTCTCTTAGAAGAAGCAGGCTGGGAGAAGGCCAGAAGGTAAGCAGGTTATGACATCTGAGAAATTTCCAATTTGCTTTCTACGGCTAGAGTTTAGGAGACAAGGGGTGAGAAATGAATATTAAAGTTAGCAAAGCCAAAGAGAGTGTTATCATCTTCTGAAGTATATAATGTTTTTTTCTTATGGACTATTTATTTAAAACACATTTTGGGGGAATCCATTGGGATCCACTAGGGAATAGGTGGACAAGAAAAAGTTAGGATCCCTTATTCCTGTGCCCCTTCAATCATACTTGGTTTCTAAATTTATTTTACAACTAAAGCGTAAAATTTTGTTTGCATAACTTATTTTACTACAGAAAAAATACTTTCTAAATTACTATGCAATAATGAAAAGCTATGAGAAACAAGAATAAGCACAGAGTAAAATAATTGATAGAGCTGTTAGCACTTGAACCCTTAAATAAACACCTAGACCATCTCTTTCTTCTATCAAACTAGTAAAAATGAAAAAAGTGATAAGCAATGTTGGCTTGGAAATAATGTATAGAGCAATATCATATACTTCTGGAAAAAATATATACAGGTATTCCTCGGTATTCAGAAGAGATTGCTTTCAGGATCCCCTCATATAACAAAATCTACATCTACTCAAGTCCTAGAGTCGACCGTACAGAACCTGCATGTATGAAAAGTTGACCCTCCATATACACAGGCCTCCAATGCCATGAGTACTGTATTTTTGATCTGGTTTGTTTGAAAACAAAAATCCATATCTAAGCCCATATGCACAGTTCAAACCCATGATTTTCAAGAATCAACTGCATATTATCAAAAGCATTCTGAAAAGCAGAGCAACATTGGTACAAGATCATTAAAGTGATTAAAATCTGACACAGCAATTCTACATTTAAATGTCAATTCTCAAGTAAATGTTAGAAATGTGAGCAAGCCTTGCCCTGCATATGTTTGTTGCAGTCTATTCAAACTATGAAAAGGTCAACCTGAAATTCAAACCATAGGAGTCCAGTTAAATATATGGTGGTGGATAAATACAGAGGAATACTATGCAACCATTCAATGAGCCATTACATTTTTAATAACATGAAACACTGCTGTCAATATTGACACTGCTGCACTTATACTACACTATTATGAGACATTCCTGAGCAACATAGAACACATTTGCTTCTACGCCCGCCACTAAGTTTTCCCTTACAAAGGTTTTATTTTCTTCACACTCTGTGCTGGCACATACTAGGTTACTTACTGTTTACTGCCTGTCTCACACACACTGACATGTGAGCTCCATCAAAGCAGCAAATTTGTTTTGTCAATGAAACATCCTTGATTTCGAGAACAATGCTTGGCACATTCTAAAAGCTAAATAAACATTTTTGGAATTAATAAATAGTGCATAATTGTATATGCTTAGATATCAATTACGCAAAAACATCTATACAACACTAAAACATCCAAGATGTCATAAATCAATAATGCCAGAATTTTGGAATTTTGAGCATTTTGATTCATAAAATGATATTTTCCTAGATATAAGAAAATTTTCTGTAAGAAGAATGAATACGTTTTGTTAGATAAAAACAGCAAAGTTATGACTAAAAAATAAAATAAACTGTATTTCAGTGTGCTGGGGGGCACTTTGGCATTTATTATGATGATTTTGCAGTGAATATGTTTAAAATATTTAAACCAGGAGCTAAGGAATGGCAGAAATAAAAAAGACGCTAAGAGTATTGTGTGTCTGTTGTTTTTTTTTTTTTTTCCTGTGAAAATATCCATAGATATTATCCAAATTCAGTGATTAGGGCACTGATCTTTCTTCAGATTTCCCTGAATTTTTCCCTCACTCTTTGGATGCTCTTATCCTAGACACTAGAGTTGAAAAATAGTAAGACAGTTGCCATACCTGAGCTGCAAAAAACACTTCAGTGTGTGTGTGTGTGTGTGTGTGTGTGTGTGTGTGTGTTCGGTTTTCTCTTTAGCTCCTTTGCTCTAATCCTGACAAACATAGTCTTCCCTCACCATATTTGGATCATTGAAAAAAAAAAAAGAAACTATAATTGTAGACTTTTGTTTGCTCTTTGGGCCGGGCTTTAACTCATGATGGCATCTTGGAACTCTCTTGCACAGGAAAATAAAAGACTCTACCTGATTCCACCCTGTATCCAGGAATTCCATATTGGACTCACTTCCAACAATGGACTACAGGACTGTGGTTTTTCTTACTTCACTGTCTACTCATGTTTCTCCTTCAAGTAAATATATGGAGAACAGGGTTTCAGTATGTGTGTTCTCATCAATTTCCATTGGAATAACAATTTTTATCCTTATATCACCTTCTTACATCACCTTAACAAGCAAGAAAACTCAATTATGTAGAAATGGATCTGCTGGATGTTATTTAAACCATATTATTTTATATCACAGTTTTAGTACATTAAATGTACTTCTTTATATCAGCTCATTTCCTGTGAGTCATTTCTAATTTATTTGTGTGCAAGATAATAGAGAAGAAAAGCAATTGATAAAGCTTGTCCATAGATACAGATAACGATAGGAGTCTGTTTATTGTTTCAACAAAACTTTATTCAGTACATACTATGAAGCAAGCAAGAATAGTTTGGGTGAAACTATGAATCAGGAGCCTGGGTACATTTGGAGAAAGAAGCTAAAAGCCACCAAAAATAAAAAACGCAGCACTACCGAAAACACACACAGCAATGTCCTAATTCTGCCTAGAGCCAGCCCTAATTGTGAGAATTAAATTTCTCCCAACTTTAGCACATTAAAATTAACAAAAATATTTTAAGGTGAGTTGGTTAATAAAATGTACTAATTTAACTTATAATTATAACCAAACGTGTGATTATATGTAACTCACTATCAAAAGCTCTCCATGAAAAGTCTGGTTTTAGCATGAAGCTGGCTCAAGATTACTACAGTTAAAAAAGCCCTGAGTTTTGTAGCATATAATCGTTATAGATTTCTGTCACAGAAATCCATAGAGATGTAAGAAATTCCTTTCTCCACGTAATATAATCTTCAATTTTATGAAACTGTTAAAGTTATCTTTAGATGATTAAGATGGAAATTGCTTGTATGAAAGTTCTACCACCTGAAGGTATTGGTTACCACTTGGAACAAATCTCTATTTAAATGACGTATTAAACTCATGTCTGAAAAATCTTTGTCCAAAAATGAAATGTTAGTGTAAAATGTTCATTAGGAACCTCATATCCATTATCTGAGGTTTCCTAAAAGCAATGATGGAATAAAGAACTTTTACAGCCCAGCCATCATTTTTAGAGAACAAATTATTTAATGCATGAAGCAAATATACTAGGAGGAATGCAAAAATTCCTGAGGTGCACAGGGGCTGGGGGGACCTCTTCTACCGAAGATTTCAATTGCTTCCATTGAAAATTAACATATTTTATTACTGGGAATAGTTTACTTTCTAATGTAATTGATATGGTTCCTGGTTTACTGCCAGCTATACTTTCATTGTGTCATAGCTGAGGCTTATAATGACATTCTGCAGGGATACCACTGACACCACTACTTTGTCTTTCATAACAGCACTCGGGCATATTTTTAACACAGAATGAATCAGAGAATCACACCCATAACTCTGGGAATGCGATGCTGAAAATTGATTCTACTGAGTTCTACCCAGATGTCTCTTCACTCACAATCTAGAATAATTTATGGAAAGAAGCCATTCACATTATGAATTAATTATTTTTGTTGAATCATAAATTAAAAGAGCTATATATGATACGTAAACTCAGGAATAAATGATTTTTTTGAAAAAGAATTTAAAAACAAAATAAAGATAAAAATATTAATACAGAGATAAACTATGCAATTATTTGGAGCAGTACGGAGAAGTAGGACATGAGGTTATATATCAAAATATTTGAAGATAGGGGAGAAGTCACATCAAGAAAGATCCTGGCATCAATCAACTTTAACTATGACTGCAATTAATATGAATTAATTGAGTGTTCACTTAGGCAGCAGAGGAATTAAAAAAAAACACACACACAATTCAATGTAGCAGACGTACGCAAGGCATGAATTTCCAGTGTATGTAAAGTGTTCTTAATCTTTGTACAAATTGAGAATGTTAAAATAGGAATTTATTATGAAGAACAAATTTTGAGTGTAATACTTAGATAGTGGCATGGCTGGAGGAAAATTTAAAGTCATTTCATTTATTCCTTCAAGAAATACTCACTATTCATCTGTTAGCTACCAAGAACTTGATTACAAGTGGATACAGTGGGTAACAGAACAAGCATAATATCTATGTTATGTGTTCTTTTTGATCTTCAATAGCTTCAGTTTTAGTGGAAATGGGAAATAGATAATTAAAAAATAAATACACATAATGTATAAAATTTTGGAGAGTGATAAGTGCTATAAAAAGAGGCAGATAAGGATCAGAGGTTTGTAATAAGTTAAGAGGAAAGGAATATGAGGAGGGAGACATTACAATGATGTCTTCATTAAATAGGATGATCAGGTAAGTTCTTATTAAGAAAGTGCCTGTTGTGGGGTGGGGGATGGGAGAGGGATAGCATTAGGAGATATACCTAATGTTAAATGACGAGTTAATGGGTGCAGCATACCAACATGGCACGTGTATACATATGTAACAAACCTGCATGTTGTGCACATGTACCCTAGAACTTAAAGTATAATAAAAAATAAATAAATAAAATAAAATAATGAAAAAAAAGAAGTATTTATACAGAACTTCACCCGACAAAGCAGCATAGACATTTACTTTCAAGTGTATATAGAATATTTACAAAGATCATATTGTGGGCTACAAAACGTATCTCAATAAATTTAAAAAGAAAAAAAAAGAAAGTGATGTTTGAGCAAATACTGAGATGGTCATATGCATGTCTGGGTAAAGAGTAGTCATACAGAGGAAATAGTTAAGACAAAGTCTCTAAGGCAGATGCAAGCTTGGTATGTTCCAAGAGTATCAAGGAAGCCTAAGTTTGTATACTGAGATAGTGTGGTATGGGTGGTAAGAGATGAGGTCAGAAAGGTAATTGAGTTCTTGTTAGCTAGGGCCTTGTAGCAACATAACTCTAAGTTAAGTGCATAGCCACTTTAGGATTTGGAGCAAGAGTGGCATATTATGATTTACATTTAAAAAGGTAATTTGACTTACTATAAAAGTAGAATGCAATAGATAGGGGATATAATAGAAAAACGAAAATAATACTGAAGGTTATGTTGCAGTGATCCACATAGGAAATTTGGTGGTGACAATCAAAGTACTGAAAATGGTCATTTCCTAATTACAGAGTATTTTGAAGGCTTAACAAACAGGTTTAACTGAAACTGGGTGTGTAGTGTGAGAGAAAGTGGAGTCAGGACTTGACATTGGTCAACGTAAGCAACTGAAAGATTGTCATTGCCCGAAATAAGTCAGTTCATAGGCGGAGAACTTTGGCAGAGAAAAGCAGGCCTGCTAACTAAGGCACTTTGATTTTGAGATATCCAGTAGGCATGCGCATAGAGGACTGAGTATGTGGTTACATACTAAGCCTGGATTTGGTGAGCAAGACCTGAACTGATGACATAAATGTAAATGTTATTAGCATATAGTTAGGATTTAACACTAGGAATTGGAATCACTGAAAAAGAGAGTATATATGTAAAAGATAAAAGGTCAAAATCCACTGAAATGTTTGTACATCAAAATTGCCACCTCATACATTTCTTATTTAGAGGTGATAAAGAAAGCCACGTATATATGGATGGAGAAATAGTATCTGATTTTACTGGTAAACACATAATATTAAATAAACAATGTCACCATTCAAGATATGAAGCATTTTATAATGTTTATAAGTAGTTTCAAAGGGCTTCAATTTGTAATTCCATGATTCAGTAATTATGTTGAACAGGATAGGTGAAAACATATCAAGAGCAAAGAGATCATTTTAGCAGGAGGTTCAAAGAGATTACATTGGAATAGAACTCTAACTTAAATTTAAGTTAAAAACAACGTTGTAGAAAGTGAGGGTTCCTAAATACTGGTTAGAATAATTTAAAATGAAATTTAATCTTTGTATTACAGTAAAATAATAGCTGTAAGGATAGTGAATGTTAAAATGTAATATTAAGTAGAAGAATTAATTCTCATTTTCATACTCAATTCACAATAAAAGCAATAGAAATGCCAACAGAAACGTGCTAATGAAATAGAATGGGAATATTCAATCAACACAAAATAAGTCTCCACATTGCATCATATAGGTTTTAAATTTAAACAAAACTTACCTAAGTTAAACATTCAATAGGTTTTTTTTGTGAACAGAGAAGGTTGGGGAAACAGCTGTATGGAACTTAGCATTCTGTATTTGACTGGAGTTGAGTATCTGTACTAAGTGAAACTTTAGCACTGCAGCTGGCATTGTCACTGGCTGAAGAACTGTACTTTTTTTTCCCAAGTATCTGCATTCTTAGAAATTTGTCTCTGTGTTTTTGTTTTTACCATTTAGGTAATATATAAGGAAATTTATACCACTGTACATCAGGATAAATGAGTTTGTCATTATCAAAGTAGGTCCACAATATAAAAAAGAATTAAGGTCTAAAATATTCTGGTCCTTTTCCACTTCCTTGTAATGTAAAATAAGGGTTTTATTTTTTAAATACTACATTTGATCAGTTGAAGATTTTAAATGTACCTGTAACCTCAAATTGTTAGATAAGTCTAGAGCATCTTACTCTACTTCCCAAACTATTAATGTAGAAATAACTGGGATTTATATCTCTGAAAACATGGGTTTCTCTCCTCATAAGAATGCTGTCGTATCCTATCAGTGATTATGAAGAAATATTTGCTATAAGTCACAAGAACTATTATAGTATTACACATGGTAGGAAACCAGGTGCAGAATAAACATCAACCACCGCTGTCTAGTAATATAAAATAGAAGTACAATTAGCTATTACAAGAAAGCTTTTAGGGAAACTTTCCAAATGGTAACCCAGTGCTTTGAATAACTTAATTAACTTCCTATGGGATCAAATCAATCACTGTTAAGTACCTGTCATATATAAATATTGCCCACAGTAAGGCTCAATAAATG
The DNA here is from genome assembly GCF_000001405.40 of Homo sapiens. Taxonomy (NCBI): domain Eukaryota; kingdom Metazoa; phylum Chordata; class Mammalia; order Primates; family Hominidae; genus Homo; species Homo sapiens. The sequence goes on along the minus strand of NC_000013.11, from coordinate 84,359,430 downwards.
TTTTGTATTAATGCTAAAATTATTTATGCCTCTGTATTACAATATCTAGAGAAATGAAACGTATTTGCTATATTAACAAAGAACTTTTGTAATTGACCTAGCAACTGCTGTGATATTTAAGAAACTAATACTGAAAGTGAACAATAGGGGAAATGTATTGAATGGTTTATTAGGGGTTAGGGACATAAAGACATTTCTCTGGGATATTGTTGTCATCTCTACAAATCAGTATGAAGTGAAAAGTTTTGTTACATTCCATATATGCCTATATAATCATCTTATGACAGCTTGAAACTCAGCCCCAGCAACCATAGAAGGCAGTTGTTTCAAGTCATTCATGACTACATTCATGCATTTATTCATTCATTCAACAAGAATTGGATTCCTATGATGTCCACAAATTACATATCCAGATAGATGTTATCATCCTGTTTTTCAAGATAAGGTGTGCCAATTTAGTTCTCCAAACTAAAATGGCTGAATGCATCAAAATAATAATTCAAGCTTTGGCTGCTGGACTCCAAGCTCCGTACTCTTAAACATTGCATTGTACCGGGGATAATTATAGTAAACAGTGGTTTTGTAATCTAGGAGTACATCAGGCCTGCTGTAACAGCTGATTTATTCTATTACTGAGATGGTACATAGCTACAGTCTACTTCGAGAACAGTGGAATCCAAACTTAGGAATTTAGAGAGAGAGTCACCGTGGCATTGATTCATTCACCATAGTTTAGAACTGTTTTCTGTGCTGTACTTAAAACAGCATAATGATATAACATGGGAAATGTTGGCAAAGTTAATAAGAAACATAATTGCTATTTCTAAGGTCATGTGGAAGAAGGTGGGCATTTTATGTTCACACACAGAAGTCTGGGGCTCTCTGGACAAGCGTATATGTTTGTTGGCTGTATATGTCAAGCACCCCATTTTTTTCAGTTCATGTGTTTTCACTTTTTCATCCCAATTATATTTTACATAGAGCAACACTTTAAGCAATATTTACTACTCATACTTTTCAGCACCTAAAATACACTTGTGTTTTATGTCTATTTCAATTAATATACAGAACGCATCTAGGCATCTCCATCCCCGTTTTAATAAAAAGAACAAAGAAAGTTTATTTAAATTACTCCCAGTGGCCAGCCGCACTGGCTGATGCCTATAGTCTCAGCACTTTTGGAGGCAGAGGCAGGTGAAACTCATGAAGTCAGGAGTTCAAGACCAGCCTGGCACACATGGCCAACAGGATGAAATCTGTCTCTACTAAAAATACAAAAAAAGTAACTGAGCGTGGTGGCGGGCACCTGTAATTGCAGCTACTTGGGATGCTGAGGCAGGAGAATCGCTTGAACCCCGGAGGTGGAGGTTGCAATGAGCTGAGATGGTGCCACTACACTCCAGCCTGGCTGACAGAGCAAGACTCTGTCTCAAAAATAATAATAATAAAATAAAATTAAAAATTACTCAGAGCCCTGTTGGTGCTAAGTAGTGGAGTCATAATCAAACCTTTATTTATGTGGCTCAAAAGCCGATGCCTTCTTTTATTCAAGGTATTGAATTCTGCTTTCCATAATCTGATATGAATCTCTGAGAAAGAGTATAAGCTGCATCAGAATGGAGTTTAGTTTAGAATATTATTCCTCACTGGAATTTGATATCAGTAAGTTTTCTGGTAATACATTTTAAAAAATATTTTCTTGCATGTAAACAATTTCTGTGAGCCATTTAGATTAGATGACAACAGAATCCCTTGATATTTACAATTTTAAATGTCTTAGAATATTTGTTTGTGAAAGTGCAGCCCTAATCCCAAACAATATACACAATTAATGCATTCCATGATGAAATTTTCTTATAAATTGCCTTTATCAGATTCTATATAATAGATAAGTTGGAAGTTTGTTAAACCTATATTTCCCCCTGTGTTTTTATGCTTTTATGGTAAAGACAATTCTATTACCATAATACATATTATTCATAGGAAAAGCAGAACTGACAAATGTACTTCGATAACTGAAACGAACTGGAAAATAGAAAAAGGGAATTAGATTGTTCTATTACACTGATATAACTTTTCTACATTATCTTTATTTAGCTAAGGCAATATTTTCCAAGAATGTTTAGTCTTTGGCGACTTCCTCACATTATATCACATCCTGGAAGACAGGGATGGAATGAAGGCAAGAAACAGCAAAGCAGCTTTATACATTTCTAATAATAATAATAATTTGTTTGCATGCTAAACATTCCACTGAGCTTCTGATAGGCCATCAGCTATTTATTAGTTGGAATCAAACAGAACACAGAGTACAAGATTCTGAATAGAACATGACTCTTTTATTCACTAGATATAAGCACTTCAAATAACTGTCAAGATATTTAAATTGTCTAAAACAAAGTTTTCCTCATGAGTAAAATGGAGATACTAAAACCTGTGTCATAGTGTTGCTATATTCAATTTGCATTTTAAAAAGTGCTTGAGAGACCCATAGTAAGCCTTCAACAAATGTTAGCATAGTATTATAATAGTGGAAATTAAAGAAGCAACAGTCCAAACTTAGTTTTGAACCAATTGAATAATAGGCACAGTTGCAAAATGGTGAGAAACATACTCGTTTTTTTGTTCCTAGTGAGGCTGGGTTTAGTGAACATAGCTCGAACTTGAGATGACTGCCACCTTCACCCTGGATATTACAACCCACTTGTGAGGAGTGTGAGTTTTTACACAGGTAATCTGAGTCCACCAAAGTAGACTACGGACAAAGAGAGCAAACCAATCACATAACATCTAACACTACCTCTATTCCTATGGCAAGGCGGGAATAGCACATGTTCAACATTTTTCATATTAATAAATATCCCTGCTTTGCATAGGGAGGATCCAGTGGTATGCAAAAGAAAAGAAACTGATTGCCAGTATTTTAAGGAAGGAAGTTCTTCATTTCTAGAATGGCTAAAAGGAAGAAAGATGTAGTCTAGTGAGGGCCATGGCTGAAGTCTCTGAAGCCACACTGCCTGAGTTCAACCACAGCTCTACCAAATATTGTTGAGTAACATTCAGTTGGTCCCAAATTCAATTCACATAAGGATCGAAGTAGTACACGTTTGTATGACACTCAGAAGAGAGCACAGCAGGGAACATGTTTTCCCCTACAGCTGATTTCTTTTATTCCCTATCTCAGTGAGGTAGAGTTTGCATACAGTTTTAGAATGCAAATATGAATAACAGAACCATTTCTTTCACAGGGTTTGGGGGAAGGTAAATACTGGTTACCTTCACAAATTCAGTGAATAGGAGAAAATTAAAAGAAAGAAGCTTGTTAATGAAGTCAAAAGTTTTACTACTCACATTTGAACTTAAGAATTCTGAATGCTGTATTATACAATGGGTAACTTTAGAAGTTAATCTGTGTTAAAAACAAAATAAACACTTCGGTGTGGAACTGTCAAGCTTGAGTTTAAACTGGTTTTACAGAGAAAACAGAGATATATCTGCAGCCATCTGATGATCTAATGATGCACATCAGTTTGCTTGAAAATCAGATAGGTTACTTGGAGAGAATGCATTCTAAGCAAATCAGGGAAGCAAATAAAAATAAATATAAGTAAATAGCTTGATGCATAGGAGAATAGACAGTGTGATTTTTGAGGACAGTGGTTCTCTTTAACTTGTATTAATCTATACAAGCTTAGGATTCAAGCTTTAATCAACTTTTGTTTGTGACCCAGGGAAAAAAGGGGGGCTATCAGTTATTATTATTAAATTTTCAGTAAAACTTTTTTTAGGACATGCGAGTGCAGGTAATACTGCTATGATGACACTCTAGAGATGATAACTCAAGAAGGGGTATCCATCTTGCCCTGGTATCCTTAGAATACAAAGCAGCTTTGGGCCTTCAATGGCTCCCACCAAACTTTGATACTGCTAATTACAATGGAAACCAATGCTCACAGAGGGGCAGCAATATTCAGTAAAGGAGTCAATCATACCTAGGAAACTCAGTGGGGAAACTATCTTCTAACATAAATTCCTAATCCAACCGTCAGAAGCCAAGCATTAAAGTGTATCAATCATGGATCTGACACAACATGCTAATTTTTGTTTTGCACTCAGTTGCCAAACAAAACACACAATGTGTTCAGTTTTTGGTTGTTTAGGGCAAGATTGGGAAAGCTGTCAAAGAAATAAGGTACAGAAATCTCAAATGGAAATCTGTACCTACATCAAAAAATTAGTGACAAAGGTGAATTAATCATCAATCTGTCTGGCAAACTTAGTTAAACCACCTACAGAACAGTATTTCATGGCATCACTGTATGTCACAACAAACTTTCAGATATGACTCAAAATAATTTTTAGGGATTCACACTCCTGTCCTTCAAAGAAGTCTCTGGATGTCCTTGGTTCTTAGGCTATGAAGTAAAGAAAGTCAGGGTGGAAGCATAGATAGTATCAAATATGATTATAAGAATGCCTGTATTTAAAGGTATTCAGTCTGGCTCTCTCCTTGGTTAATATTGATCTCATAATTGCACATTTTTTCCTTTCCTGTGTATATTATACGTTTTAGTGGTCATTCATATGAATTTGATTGGCAATTCTTTTCAAGTATTAATACATGCTCATAAAAAGAACATTTTGGAAATATTTAAATATTTACAAATAATAAAATTGGGAGTATTTGACAAATTGTACAGCATAACAAACACCAAAGTACTAAATTTTAAATTCTGCTTTTCTAGTTTCTGAAGCATTTTGTAGTCTGTTGTGTTTCAGCAGCTTATGGGCATTTCTCTAAGATTTTCAAAAATAAATCAAAGGCAAGATGAGCTGTACTCATTACTTATACATAATAAATAACATTTTCTTGATATGAAAGTTCTTCATGGCTTAGCTATAATTTATAAACCTTAAAGTCAAATAAACTTCCACATCTTGTCAGGTTCCTTTGCCTCGTCATGTTTTCTCCTTTAAAAACATTTTGCTATTAAAAATGCTAATCAATTAAATGTATGATGTATAAGTGTGCATGTGTGTATATATGGAGTTCATTCACAGCAGACTATAATTAGTGATTATTGACATATTATTTGTATCTATCTTGAGTCAAAAATGATATGAATTGTGATTTTCTATGGGAAATAAAACGAGATATTTTAATACACAAAAGCACTAAGAACTTGTTTAATGCAAGATACTCAATGGCTTAAAATGTAATTTTAAGTTTGGTAGTTGTTTCATATAGTGTGACAAAATTAAAACAGTGGCATGGTGAATGCCACATGAATTCTTTCATAAGAAATAAAATCTTTTTTTTTTTTTTTTTTGAGATGGAGTTTTGCGCTGTCGCCCAGACTGGAGTGCAGCGGTGCGATCTCGACTCACTGCAAGCTCCTCCTCCCGGGTTCACGCCATTCTCCTGCCTCAGCCTCCTGATTAGCTGGGAATACAGGCTCCCGCCACCATGCCCGGCTAATTTTTTGTAGTTTTAGTAGAGACGGGGTTTCACCGTGTTAGTCAGGATGGTCTCGATCTCCTGACCTTGTGATCCGTCCGCCTTGGTCTCCCAAAGTGCTGGGATTACAGGCGTGAGCCACCGCGCCTGGCCTATAAAATTTTTAAATAAGTTGAATTGGAACAATCTAAATTTTTTGGTACACATACCTTACCTACGTCCAAGAGAAGCCTGAAGTCTACTCAGGGACCAATTCTTCCCTGTTTTTAAGGGGGTGGCGAAAATTTCTAGCTTATTCAAAACTTTATGTCCCTTAGGCATTACCTCTCCTGCTGATTTTTGTTTCTATTTTCTATGCACTGTGAGCCTGAATAATGGCGCTCCCCTATTACATTTTCCTCTCATCTTTGTGGAAAACCTTGTGTGTCTTTTGGCCACACTGATTGCCCTCTAGTAGCTGAGTCTGATTTCTGGGTTCTTGGTGACTTCAGAATGGTTCTTTCATTGAATAAGTTATTTTTGAGCAACCATGATGTGCAGTTAGAAAAAACAAAAAAGATAATGTATAAGATGGAATGCTTTTTTCCTTTTTTCTCTTAAAAATTTTATTTGCTTCAATTAGTGATGATTATGACACATAATTCTGAGGCTGTACATGACCCACATTAACTCACCAAGACATTCCCCTCAGCTTAGCTAAATTTTAAAAAGTATCTTCCTAACTCTAGGCCCCTGACCTCCCTTTTCTTAGAAAACTTGTAAGTTCAAATTCTTTCTCTGACCCTTAAATTACATACAAATCTTCTCTCAGCCTCTTGCTAGTTTTACAACCAAGGAATGTCTATTGCATGGGCCTAGGGGACATTTCTTTGGAATATAATAGTCTAAAAATGTAGTCTGCTTACTCCCAGTCTCTGTGGAAGGTAGGGGTCTAATTTCAACAAGTGCCAATTAGCAAACACAGATGGATGACCTAATCACAGGACAAATCTCTCTACCAAAGTCTTCTAGAACTTTCCACTAGCTCACTCCAGTGCTTAAAAAAATTTGCTTTTTGTTTCATGGGAGTTAAGTTCAATCTCTCTCCTATCACCTTGCTAATTTACCATGGTGCTACTTTTCTTTAACAGTTCTGGTATGCAACTCATAGGATTTGACTCATCATTGGGTCTCAGAGAGCCTGGTACCCATAGCCCCAGGCTTATACCTTTAACTTTTGCCTTCCCAGATGATGGATTGATCAGGGAACTTATTTCTGAGCTATTGCTCTAAACTTCTGACCACTACAGGAATTGACTTTAATGCCACAATGACATGGCTTGGCTCTGTGTCCCCACCCAAATCTCATCTTGAGTTCTACTCCCAGAATTCCCTCATGTTGTGGGAGGGACCCGGTGGGAGATAATTGAATCACTGGGGCAGTTTCTCCCATACTGTTCTCCTGTTAGTGAATAAGTCTCACGAGATCTGATGGTTTCATAAGGGGAAATTCGTTTCTCTTGGGTCCATTCTCTCTCTTGCCTGTTGCAATGTAAGATGTGCCTTTTGTCTTCTGCCATGATTTTGAGGCCTCCCCAGCCATGTGGAAATGTAAGCCCAATAAACCCTTTTTCCTGTATAAATTACTCAGTCTTGGGTATGTCTTTATTAGCAGTGTGAAAATGGACTAATACACATGCTCTTATTGTAATGAGCTTTTGTTTGATCGAACTTTGTTTATTTAACATTTAGAGTTCTTTTTGATTGTGGAGACCACATATGTGATGACCTCGTGTGCTAAATTATAGACACACATAAGTGCTTACATAAATTAAATATTCCTAAACCTGTCAAAAATTTTTAAAGTTGAATTTTTAATACTTACAATGTATTTTTTAAAAATATTATAAAATCTTGCCCAAATGTTTTAAAATTTTAATTTCACATGAATCAGATAAATCTTTGTCAAATAAGACTAGTTTAATATTTTTGATTTAATAAAAACTGCTTTGTTTTCTGAGTTCTCTCCATTAAATATGATACAAGCATACATTTTTATTTTACTTGGGTTTAGTAGTAAATATTATTTCTACCAGATGTTTAAAATTATTAACAAATTTGATTTTAATCAAATTTTGTCATTATTCTGACAAATTCGTATTTCAACCCTAATTATGTTTTATATGTCTGCTTAAAAATACTTTTCAAAAGTTTTTTGATAACTCACAACATGAAACTTATGCCCAATTAAGTAATAGATATCCATTAAACATTTAGATCATTACTAAATAAACTAGTGAAACATTCGTTAGCAAGTATATGTGTAAGTTTATATACTTTTGACTGATGTTTACATGATACAGAGAAGCTAAAAATATTGGGTTTGTTAATAAACATGTTATTTTGGCCACATTTGCAGAAGGACAGTCCCAAAATAACCTTGGGTGACCCAGCCCTTCCTCTTCCCACATACGGTCTCAGGATAACTGTAGAATATGCTAAAAAGGTAGTGCCCTGATATAAGGAGGAACTATTCAGAGCAGCTCAGGTTTTGGCCTTGTCCCTCCTAGAACAGGATGCCCTACAGTGCTTTAGCTCAGGGAAACAAGTGTTTCCCAGAGTATAAAATCCCAGCGTGGAATGCTTTGGGGATCCCTCAGCTGAGGTGTGAAGTGAGGCATGCACAAACGAGACTCCATCTGCACTGGGCAGCTTTCCTGAGCAGTGGAGACCAGCTGGTCATGGAGCCTGGGCTTCTGTTGATTCTTGCACTCTATCTGTGAGTGACAAATTTGATTTGCAGAACCTGTTGTGAGAGTGTTCTGTCTCATTGTATTCATACTCTGGCATTTGAGTTTGTGCAAAATGTTTTTTGCTCAGCCTCCTGAGTAGCTGGGACAACTGGCGCCCACCAGCATGCTTGACTAATTTTTGTATTTTTAGTAGAGACGGGGTTTCACCATATTTGTCAAGCTGGTCTCGAACTCCTGACCTCAGGTGATCTACCTCCCTCTGCCTCCCAAAGTGCTGGGATTATAGGCGTGAACCACTGCACCTGCCCTTTGTGCAAAATCTTTTAAGGGGGGTTTGGGCAAGACTTCCTGCCAGATCAAGAAAACTTGGCAGAAATTGGTGAGATGTTTAGAGTCTTCTCCTGGGATTGGTAACCAGTGGACCATATTCCCCATTCAAGGGCTAATGCCAGTGTACTGCGTATCTGCTAAAGAAGTTTGAAAAATAATACCATAAGAAATTATAGACCTATAAATATTACAAGATGGTATATTCATAAACTGAATTAATTTGCTGTAGAGTGTTGATATAGAACAGTTCACAGTGGTCTATTTCCTAGTTTTGTCTGTAAAGTATGTTAGGACTAGTTAAAATTATAATCAATATATGTGAATGAAACGACTAGAAATAATAAGTACAAGGGAAAACAACCTTGTATTCAGAGGATGCAAGAAGTTTATGATTTGCTTTGTTAAAGAAAATTATGAAAGTTTGTAGAATATGTTTTTGTTGCCAAAAAAAGTAATTTTTTTCTAAAGGAAAATGACTAGTTCCAGAATGAGAAGAGAATATGCATGAAACCTAAATAGATATGGATAGCCATAGAAGGTTTCTCAGGAATGAAATTCTATTTTGTACCTCCAAGTCTAGTTAAGATTGGATGGGTTTATTTGTTATTATTCTTATGACTTTTAGTATCAATAGTGTAATGATGCAAAACTAGAACTTGTTTTTCTCTCTGTTAAAATGACATTTTCTTGGATTATCGGTCTGCTCTTAACAAGAGATTCCAAAAGTTTTGTTTTCTTTATCTTCTGAGTAATCTGCTTAGAAATCACAAATTCTGTGTCATGTTAGGATAATTTCCTGTGTTTTAAGTTGATTTTATCAAGGGTTTGATTACTTTAGTGAACCCAGTCTTTTGCTTTAATAAAGAGCTAAAGTTTGTTATTGTTGTTTTATTGTTTTTTCAATCATGTTACCTCCTTGTTTGTTTTGAAATCCCTTACTGCCACTTTGTTTAAGTAGATAGCCAAGTATTTCTTTTTTGAGACAGAGTTTTGCTCTTGTCGCCCAGGTTGGAGTGCAGCAGCGCAGTCTCTGCTCACTGAAACCTCCACCTCCCGGGTTTAAGAGATTCTTCTTCCTCAGCCTCCTGAGTAGCTGGATTACAGGAGCGCACCGCCATGCCCAGCTAATTTTTTTTTGTATTTTTAGTAGAGACGGGGTTTCAACATGTTGGCCAGGCTTGTCTCAAACTCCTGACCTCAGGTGATCCACCTGCCTCGGCCTCCCAAAGTGCAGGGATTACAGGCGTGAACCACCTCAGCTGGCTGCCAAGTATTTCTTAATGACAAATAATCCTTTTAGTCAAGAGTCCAAAACTTCTCACATTTTTGGATATTTCAGCGACCCAAAATCAAATCTTAAATGAAACCTTTTTTTTTTTAAATCTCAAAATGACTTTAGAATTTCCCAAAAGTCCCCTAGAAAGTCAGAAAGGATTTTTTTCACCTAGTAAAATGAGAGGTGTCAAGAATAATTAGGTTTATTTGATATGTTGAGTTGCTTTTAAAGTACTGTCTAATAATAAGAAACCTTAACCTTCCTTAGGTTATATTTAACCTTTTCTAGGTAAAATGTTATTAATATAAATGTTTAAGAAACTTTAAAGTTCCCAGAAATTAGTCAATGCCTCACTGTCTGTGATATATATTGGTGCTGCTTTGCTGATACTCAGTAACAAGAGTATAATGTTATCTGTCATAATTTCTAAGTTGTTCAGTGAAAAAGGTTGAACACCCCAATCTCCCAGTCTCGACGGGAGGGTAGGAGCCTCATGTTAATAAGCACAGGTTAGGAAACACAGAGACATAATTACCTTGACCACCTTCCTGTGACATGTCCTCCAGAGCCTTTTCAACAGCTCACTCTAGTGCTAAAAAACCTTTCAGCTTTTGTTTCAGTAGAATTCAATCTCTGTCCCATAATCCAATACTCTTGAATAAAGTGTTCTTTGCCTATTCAATTTGTCAGTAGAATTTTTCATGAGCGTGTCCTTTATGTGAGTATAGTAGAGTTAACATATATAATTTTTCCCTGATAGCCTGTCCCTTTGTACTGTGCATCACAAACATCTAATTTAATCCACAATCAACTTCAAGAGTTGTTTTACTCTATTTATTTAGCTGAGGAAACTGAGATTTAGATAAGCTAAGTAAATCATCATACAAAGTCATTCAGATAAGCTTCAGGACCCCTCTGTTATCCCACTTCTTTTAAGGTGCTGTGCCTATTTTTGTGTTTATGGTCCTGTATTTTTTTTTCTTAAAAGAAGATCCTCCCAGATTGTTTGAAATGTTACTGAACCTGGACATGCCTTCACACAGCTAATGAGTGTTAAATTTAGTGTAGTGTTCCAACAGTCTCCATGGTTGGTTGGTTACAGGACCTCCTATGGATACAAAAATCTGTGGATGCTTACATCCCTGATATAAAATGGCATCGTATTTACATATAACCTGTGCACATCCTCCCATATACTATATTTTAAATCCTAATTACTTATAATACCTAATACAATGGAGATGTTTTGTAAAAAGTTGTTATACTGTATTATTTAGAGAATAATTAAAAGAAAAAGTCAGTATATATTCAATACAGGCACAAATTTTTTTAAATATTTTTGATCCATAATTGATTGAATCCAGTAATGTAGAATGGTTACAAAAGGTCCAACTGTATTTAAATCTGGAAGGTCTGCATTCAATGCCTGTGTGCTCCTTTCATTACAGTTACTTTCCAGATTTGTTCTTTGGTGCCCTAGTGTTCGTAGAATTAGCTTGAAGGCAGATGTGCAGAACTGTTGGCAGCAGGAGAAGCTGAGGTCTGGGACCTCCACTCCAACTGCAACCAGACCAGCCTTGCTTCTATATCTCCATTTATCTATTTCTATGTTATTTGAACCAAATTTGTTTGGAAGAAATGATTCTGTGGGCAAAATGGTTTAAAAGTGGCATAATGCAGTGCTGCTTAGTCTCCTTTTCACTGAATACATGTTGATGTAGGGTAGCAAGTGTGGAAAGTTAATTATACAAAATGTATTAAATATATTTTGGACTGAAAAGGCCTAAGAAATTATCTAGTTCAGCCTTTCTTTTTAAAGATTGGAGAAATGACTCACAGAAGCGAAAGTAATTTACCTAAGGTCAAAGACTAGTTCAGCATAGAATTGCAATTATTAAACTCTCATAATACATTATGTCACCAGTTTATTTGAGAGAGAGTTCTAAAAACCATCTAATGAAACTTGTTATTATATTGACTGCAGTGATGCTTTGGGGGTCATTGTTCACTATATATCACTTTATTCTTTTTATGAGTGAGCACAAAAGTTATTTAACTTAGTTTTAAAAATCAAAACAATTGGCCGGGCGTGGTGGCTCACGCCTGTAATCCCAGCACTTTGGGAGGCTGAGGCGGGCGGATCACGAGGTCAGGAGATCGAGACCATCCTGGCTAACATGGTGAAACCTCGTCTCTACTAAAAAAAATACAAAAAATTAGCCGAGTGTGGTGGCGGGCGCCTGTAGTCCCAGCTATTCGGGAGGCTGAGGTGGGAGAATGGCGTGAACTCAGCAGGTGGAGCTTGCAGTGATCAGAGATCATACCACTGCACTCCAGGTGGGGCAACAGAGCGAGATTCCATCTCAAAAAAAAAAAAAAATCAAAACAATTTGTATTAAGTAGTTTTTGGGGTCGTTTTGCTCTCCTTATCATGTTAAATTGTATGATTGAATTTCTCTTTGGTTGGCCAAACAGACTGACGAGCTTAAAACTATCACTGACAAGGTTGAGTTGCAGCCATATAAAGGATACAGAATTTCACAGTTTGTATTATCTCTACCAAGTTTATTCCTGCTTTTTTGCTGTTTAGTATAATTTTTCCAAGACTTTAAGTTTTTTCATTATACATTGGTAGATTGATCTATCTTTTGGTAAACTGTCACAATTCATTTGGACTGAATCTAGACAGTAAGACAGGGGCCATTTTCCGTGAAGATTTTTGTGTAACTGTATTCCCATCTCATTTATACAGAAGTATTTTCCTAAATCTGAGCACAGAGTTTTATACGTGATAGACATCCAATAAATATTGATTGAATGGATAAATGTACAATGGGAAGTTATAACAAATTTCAATATGTAACTTAAAAACTTAGAATGCCAAAATTCTAAAGGCAGTGACAAAGTGAAGACAAGAGTTGAGTCTCCAGATCCTCAGATGAAGTTCATGTATTCAGCTCTTACAGTGTTTTGGATTTTGTGCTATACACTTTGTAGAAACTATCACATTTCATAATCTTATGCAGTCAGGCTATAAGGCTTATTTTAAAGATGAGGAAACCAAGGTGCAGATGGGTTAAGACCAAGTTTACATGATTAGCAAATTGCAGAGTCAGTGTTTGGACCTTTATATATTTTTAGGAGCAACAATTTTGTGCTCTTTTAACATTTTAAAAATAACATTTTTTTCTTTACTTTTAAAAATTACTTTTTTGTTTACTTTTGTAATCATTTTTATTATCTTGCAAGTTATTATGTGTCCCAGTAAAGTTATGGAGAAAGTAATACGATGGTTTAAAGCAAGGAGATACTACTTACATTTAATGAATTATGTGGTGGTTTTTAAGTTACATATTGAAATTTGAATGGGATTTGAACTTTAAGAAAGAAGAAAAAGATAAACATAAATCAGACATATTAGCATCCTCTGAGAAGAGGCCCATAGTCATAGAATGTGTCCATAATCAAGTAAACCTGATTAAGGATTCTTTCCATATCCCTCTCAAGATAAATGTTGAATTGGGTTAAATAGATTTTCTTGACAATTATGGAGATTGACAGTCTATAATACATAAAATATTAATTCAGAAGAAAAGATCTAGAGTATGAATGTTGGATTTGAAACCCATAACCACTGTTTATTCTCTTGAACAAGTTACTTTCTCTCCATGTAATCTATTTCAGTTTCCTTTCTAAAAAGATAAAGCTACAGTTATTGTACCACAATTGCTGCATAAACTGTGTAATCCTTCATATATCAAAAAGGACAATGCCTTGCAGGTGTTACCTTTCATTTACTCTGTTATCAGTTACTTTGAAAAACATATTTTCTGATATTTTATGAACAACTATTTTGTATTTATAAAGACATTTTCTTCTAATGATCCTCCGGGTGGAAATCATAAGCTATTACCTTAAATTTCCCTAGATCTAGTGATTAAAGATGTCTGATCAGTTTGAAATTTATTTCTCTCTTCATTTCAGTTTTGAGTCTTCTAGTCAGGTAGTCATGAGTAGTAGGTACTGTTCAATTCTGCCTAACATGTTATTTATTATCAATGAAGTGAAGTATTCTTTGCAGTAGTTTTTATCTTTATTCAATCCTCTTTTTGGTCTTTGCTTGAGGATACAATAAAAGATCAAGAAGCCAATAAAAGATCAAGTGGTGAAAGTGGGCATCCTTGTCTTGTTCCAGTTCTCAGAGGGAATGCTTTCAACTTTTCCCCATTCAGTATTATGTTGGCTGTGGATTTGTCATAGATGACTTTTATTACATTGAGGTATGTTTCTTGTATGCTGATTTTGCTGAGAGTTTTAATCATAAAGGGATGCTGGATTTTGTCAAATGCCTTTCCTTCATCTATTGAGATGATCATATGATTTTTGCTTTTAATTCTATTTATGTGGAATCACACCTCAAGGGACTAGAGAAACAAGAAAAAACCAAACCCAAACCCAACAGAATAAAGGAAGTAACCAAGATCAGAGCAGAACTAAATGAAATTTAAATTTAAAAAATGCAAAAACATAAATGAAACAAAAAGGTGGATCTTGGAAAAGATAAATAAATCTGATAGACCATTAGCAAGGTTAACCAAGAAAAGAAGAGGGAAAATCCAAATAACCTCAATAAGAAATGAAACGGGAGATGTTACAACTGACACCACAGAAATACCAAAGATCATTCAAGGCTCCAATATGCACATGAACTAGAAAACCTAGAAGAGATGGATAAATTCCTGCAATAATACAACCTTCCTAGCTTAAATCAGGAAGAATTAGATACCCTGAACAGACCAATAACAAGCAGAGAGATTGAAATGGTAATTTAAAAACTACCAACAAAAAAAGGTCCAGGACCAGAGCGATTCACAGCAGAATTCTACCAGACATTCAAAGAAGAATTGGTACCAATCCTTTTGACACTATTCCACAAGACAGAGAAGAGGGAACCCTCTCTAATTCATTCTATGAAGCCAGCATAACCCTAATACCAAAACCAGGAAAGGACATAGCCAAAAAGACAGCTACAGATCGATATTCCTGATGAACATAGATGCTAAAAACCCTAACAAAATACTAGCTAACCAAATCCAACAACATATCGGAGATAATCTACCATAAGCAAGTGAGTGTTATACAAGGGATGTAGGGATGGTTTAATAATTATATTTGTCAGCGTTATTTATAAACAATTGTACATATTGAATATTATTATAGAAGGTATGCATTGTTTGATTATTTCATTTAAAAACAATTTTCAACATCCATCCATAATAATTCCCCTTGCCCTACCTCCCTTCTCTGTTCTAAATTTCCCGTCAACCCAGAATATTCTAATACTATCCACTCAGACAACTAGCTGCTGTTTCATGCACTGAAATATTTGAAGAATAGCTGCATGCCAGATGGAAATCACAGGTAGTAGTGCCAAACAATGTATTTAAAAAGCATGATTTTACTTTTATATTCCTGTGGAGTCTATTAATATTTTTATGAACTCAGAGTTGGAAAAAACAATATCAGTGTGTGATTTTGGGAACTGTGTTACTCAGAAAAAAAAGGAAAAATACAAAAAGAAAATGTTATATAGCAGAGCAGAAAAGGAAGGGGTGGAGCCTAGGATAAAGTTCCAATATAGATAAAAGTATGGATCCTGATCTCCTAATGTAGGTTACTAAGGGGTCAAAGAGTCCGCGTGTAATAAGGAAAACACATCAGTTCTGTAACTAAGTGTTATGAAGAACCTCACTACCTCACTTTGGCTTGACTTCTCATGTTGTTGAATCAGAGAATCTTTTAATGTTTGCCTTTCACTTTTGACTTTCTCAGGAGCTAATGGAAGTAACAGGATACCGGAACCCATAATATGGAGATATTCCTGACAGCTGATAATATGAAAGAAACAAAATCCACTGGAGACAGTAGCCATACTGAAGTTTGAGTGCTTTATGTGATGTTAGTAAAATGTGGATTCAATAGTGTGAGAGTGTAAAGGGGAAGACCAGGAAGTTCACAAGGAAAATGACAAACTAATGACAAAAATTTTTAAGAATTACTATAGGAATACTGAAGGAATACTTTTGGTTGGGTAGCAGATGACGACTTCTGAAAATGTGGGTACTCAATAACGGATGGCCCTCTGATAATAATAATTTTCTATCTTCTGGAGGTCTTCATGGAAGTGTTTAAAGTACTTGAATTTGTACTGAGAGAGGCTGACGTTTGACTTTCAGTATTAACATTCCTCATCTTTTCTCAAAAAAATTTCTCCTGTTTGAGCAAAAATTATAAAGAAAATCCAGTTGCCTATTAATTTAATGGGAATGATATGATCTTTTAATAACATCAGTAACTAATACTGGCCTGCAACATTATATTTTTACAGCTATATTTTCATAAGTAACCCACAATATACACTGTTTTTGGCACTCTTCTAAATATTCCAAATTAGATAGTATGAGAAATCTAAACCAAATAATCATTCTTGCAGGCTTGGATATGATGATCATGTTATAATTCCTCAACTATTCACTAAAGCCTTATGGATTCCACTATATTAAGCTATGGGTATGTCTATGTAAGAAGTACACAGTATAACTTTAGGTATATGATATACTTACTATGTATAAAATGAGGCAACTGAGAAAGTAGGGAGTCTAGCACTTCAACATTCAAATCGTGATCTGTGCAGCAGCAGCAGCATCTGGCATGTATTCTAGCATGGTGCTGACTTGCCCCATGTATTGTCCAAAGATATAGAAATTAAACCAGTTATATTTTTCTTGAGTTGCAAGGTATATACAGTCTTGCTCGTGGCTAATTAACATATGCTTTTAGAACTGCCATAGTTTAAAAATGTCTATTATAAATTCGTACATAAAGCTAATTACAATGTTGATGCCTCCAGAATATTCTGATACGTGAAAATTTCCTAGTATTTTTAGAATTACTGAAATCAATAATTAAATAAACAAATAGTACGAGTGTCAGGGTCTGAATGTCTTGTAGAAGATTCTTATAATTCCATTCCTCTAAAATTATAGCATAATACTGGCAATTACTAGTTTTTCTTGATAGATCAATGGTAAAGACAGATTCTTATGTTAAGTTTCATTAGTATTATCTGCATTTTTATATTTAAAAAAATCCTACATTAAAAAAAAATCGCTGTTGATTCCGAGACGGAGTTTTGCTCTTGTTGCCCAGGCTGGAGTGCAATGGCACGATCTTGGCTCACTGTAACCTCTGCCTCACGGGTTCAAGCTATTCTCCTGCCTTAGCCTCCTGAGTAGCTAGGATTACAGGCATGTGCCACCAAGCCCTGCTAATTTTTTATTTTTAGTAGAGACGGGGTTTCTCCATGTTGGTCAGGCTGGTCTCGAACTCCCAACCTTAGGTGATCCGCCTGCCACAGCCTCCCAAAGTGCTGGGATTACAGGTGTGAGCCACTGCACCCGGCCATCAACAGCTTTTTAAAGGCATTTTTAGCCTATTATGTAATCCTCATCCATTATAATAATATTTTCAAACAGATCAATTTATGCAAATGAATGAATAGTTGAAATTTTAAAATATATATAAAAATAGAATGGATTTTATTCTTAGTTTTCAAGTGAAGGGCATTTTGTTTACCTATAGTAATATTTTCACTACACAGATGTATATTAAAACATTATTTTTTAGTTTTAAATATACACAATAAAAAAGTAAATTAAATTGCATACATTTCTATTTGCTTTATATGAACCCAGTATTGAGTATACTCAGGATTTGTTGTTTTTTACTATTAATATTAGTTTTATGATTTGACTATCGTGTTTCCCTGTTATCCAGAAGCTACTCTCTCATCATGTATATTGGCTAAAATATTACATAGAAAACTCAGGTATTAAGGTAATTTGATCATGTTAAAATGAAGATAAATATTTAACATAATATCCCATATGTATATAGAAAAACAAAATTATGCATTGCAAGACCAACAGATACTTTTATGTCCATTATATATTTTTATAGAGGAATAGTTTCCTACAAGTTAGCTTTGTCCTGGGAGAACATACAAATATCACCAAGTGTCTCAGCCTACTATGACCTGAACAGATAAACGAGCTTTTGTACTCAACGGGTCTAAGGCAGCTCTATACATATAAAAACAAAATTTTGCAATGTATAAGTCAAAATCATGATAGTATAATAATGGAGAAGTACTCTGGAAAATGAATTATTGAAAAACAACTGGCTGGGCATGGTGGCTCATGCCTCTAATCCCAGCACATCGGGAGGCTGAAGCTGGAGGACTGCTTGAGGTCAGGTGTTCAAAACCAGCCTGGGCAACATTTTTATTCTCCGCAAAAACTGTTTAAAAATTAGCCAGATGTGGTGGTGTATGGCTGTAGTCCCAGCTACTCCGGAGGCTGAGGTGGGAGGATCACCTGAGCTCAGGAGTTTAAGGTTGTAGTGAGCTATAATTCCGCCATTGCACTCTAACTTGAGTGACAGAGCAAGACTCTGACTCAAAACAAAACAAAACAAAAAACACCCAACAAGAATAACAACTGTTCCTGCATGTTCTTACTTATAAGTGGGAGCTAAATGATTAGAACACATGGACCCACAGAGGGGAACAACAAACCCTGGGGACTATCAGAGAGTGGAGGGTGGGAGGAGGAAGAAGATCAAGGAAAATAATTAATGGGTACCAGGATTAATACCTGGGTGTTGAAATATTCTATACAAAAAAACCCCATAAAACACAATTACAAGTCTGCACATAGACCTGTGAATTGAAAAGTTAAAAAAAAAAAAGAGTAATTACTGAAAGCAAAAATATTGGTTAGAAAATTGCAAAGAAAGCCAATATTTAAAAATATAAATATTTGGAAAATTAAATCATGATTAAATTTCACAATGAATATAATTAATAACATTATAAATCCTAATTCCAAAATTTGCTACCTCATTTAGAATTAAATTATATATTATTGTATATTTTCAAATTGTATAAGTAAATTTATATTTGATTATCAAAAACAGAAATGGAAGCAACATTCAATGATGTGTGTAAATGGACACTTAAGAAATATTTATTTATCCATGCATTAGCTCAGTAACTTATAACAACTGAAACTGACAATTCTGTTTTTAAAATAATGATAAATTGTGTTGTCTTTATGTGTATTAAAAATGTGTATCAAAAATGATCTCATTAGGTCACAAGCAAACAAAAAACGATTATTTCTTCTTCATCTTTGAAAACGCAAAAAAGAAAATGTATTTCTCTTTTTTTTTTTTTTTTGAGATGGAGTCTTGCTCTGTCACCCAGGCTGGAGTGCAGTGGCGCGATCTCCGCTCACTACCGAGCTCCGCCTCCCAGGTTCACACCATTCTCCTGCTTCAGCCTCCCTAGTAACTGGGACTATAGGCGCCCGCCACCAAGCCCGGCTAATTTTTTGTATTTTTAGTAGAGACAAGGTTTCACCGTGTTAGCCAGGATGGTCTCGATCTCCTGACCTCGTGATCTGCCTGCCTTGGCCTTCCAAAGTGCTGGGATTACAGGTTTGAGCCACTGCGCCAGGACAACAAAATGTATTTCTTAAAGATTAAAAAATTATAACTGAATTGTAACTTAATACGACTCCAATCTGCCTGAGAAATTCCCGTAAGTACACTATAATAAACGCTAGATTTATTTAAACATTATACAATAGAATTCAAAACAATATATTAGGTTTTTAAAAACTTCTTGCTATACTATTACTCCAAAGCAAATGTTACAAATAAGATTAGGTAGGTCACATACATATAAAGTAGGAGATATTCTTTATTAAAAATATAAATATATAAATTAGTGGCTTCATAATTCATTCTCTTTTGTTTTTTGTGGACTCCATCATTGACTTAATCTAATTTGCTTTAACCATCACCTCTATGATTAAAACCAGATTCTTTCTCTTCAAGAATTTCAACATTGGCTTCATTTTCCTTCTTAGATATGCACCATGTCCAAACTGAAACAAACTTTTCTGGAAGAGATTGTCTTACTGTAAATTTAATTTTTTGGCACAAATTGTTTTTTGAGGAAAAAATTTACATGAGAAAATTCAGTTCCCACTGTTTTATAACTTAATGAAGTTTATTATCATATAACTTCCCACAGATGTAAATATTAATTATTTTTTCTTGAGTGCAGTGGTGTGATCTCAGCTCACTGCCACTTCTGCCTCCCAGGTTCAAGCAATTCTCCTACCTCAGCCTCCCAAGTAGCTGGGACTAGAGGTGTCCACCACCACGCTGGCTAATTTTTGTATTTTTAGTAGACACAGGGTTTCACCTTGTTGACCAGGCTGGTCTAGAACTCCTGACCTCAGGTGATCCACCCACCTCGGCCTCCCAAAGTGCTGGTATTACAGGAGTGAGCCACCATGCCGTGATATTTACATTTGACAGAAGTTAGACATTAAGTCACAAATTGGAAAAACAACAACAAAAAACAACCTTTCTATAATTTTAAGCAGTTTTTATGCCTTGTCAAATGTTCTTATGTGATTACTTCTTAAATCATTCCTCCCATTAATATTCCTGCTGCCATTCATCTATTGCAATAGCTCCAAAATAATAAATATATATTTTGAATGTACAGATGAGTGAATAAACAGCCTCACATCTAAACTATAAAAAATTGTTAATCATCTTTTCTTCCTTTCTAAATATTTTTCTCTTCCAAACTATTCACATAATCATAGAAAAAGGAAAACAAACTAAAACAAACAAAACACCATGGTCATCCTATATAATTTTATTCATAGTAACGTTTTACAGCAATCAGAGCTGTAAAATAAGGATAGATTAACAAAGTGGAAGAAACTCACAGGACACGATTTTAGTACTGTGAAGAACCTACTTACCATGTAGAAACTAGTTTATCAGTGACCAGTTACTTATCTATTACTTTTGTGTTCATTCTAATACCTCATATAAGTAGAATTATAGCACCTGAACATTAACTAAGTTTCTGTTCTGTTAATTTAACTTTGTGATTCATAAGTATGAAAATTCATGGAGCAATGGATAATTGACATTAGGCATATTTTATGTAATGTAACTATTTATGGTTGTTATAAAAAGTTATATGTAAGTGGTAGTTTAGACAAATGCTTAACATTGTGTTTGATATATTAATTGTGATTGGTAGTGATACAGAAGGAGGGACAGGGAAGTGATGGGAGGAGAATGGTGTGGTCCCTGGCAAGGGCTCCACCTCCAGCCTGTGTCCGTGGACCTAGGTGAGGACAGGTACTCCTGCCTTTGTGCCCAAATGTTGCATTTCCCAAGACAACCCTCGCCCTTCATGTCCCCATTCTGTGCCTATAAAACTCTGAGACCCTAAAGGGCAGACACACATGTGGCTGGACGTCAAGAGGAACACATAGATGGAGGAACACACAAGCGGCTGGACGTCAAGAGAACATCAGGGGAAAACCATCTCCCTTATGGCTCCCTCACCTGCTGAGAGCTACTTCCACTCAATAAAACCTTGCACTCATTCTCCAAGCCCATGTGTGATCTGATTTTTCTGGTACACCAAGGCAAGAACCCCAGGATACAGAAAGACCTCTGTCCTTGCGATAAGGCAGGGGTCTAATAGACCTGACGAACACAAGCCGCCTATGGACAACTAAACAAAAAGAGCACCCTGTAACACATGCCCACTGGGGCTTCAGCTGTAAACACTCACCCCTAAACACTGGATTGGGGTCGGAGCCCCACAGTTTGTCCATCTGTAGGCAACCCCTAGAGGTTTGAGCAGTGGGGCACTGAAGAAGCCAGCCATACCCTAGTCTTACGCCCTGTGAGGGGGACAAGGCAACTTTCCCCATTTCAGTAGTATAAAGTAAACTATTGTTGACTGTAGACTTACTGCTCTAATAAATAATTCAAAAATGTAAAATGTCTCAAACAAAATAAACATTTTTTTTTGTTCACATAAAAACACTCAGCAGGGGGACCTATTGGTGGGGTTTGTCCTCCATGCAGCCATTCAGAGTTGATGTGGCTCTACCTAAAGAGAAGCTTCCAAGATTTCATGGCGTGATGATTTCTTTAAATCTGGAGATGAGGAAGAGAGCATAAATTATCTTGTGCCTCTAGCACTATTAGCCAAAGTCTGTCCTCAAAAACAAATATCTGTGTGCATCCTTCAATCTTCTTAGTACTTTTTCTTTGTCCAGCGTAGATTTGTTATGAATTCTTTGCCACTTCTTGACCAAAATTCAAACCACGATATTGCATAAAACTTAACAATATTCCTAATCATTTCACTCTGTGTTGTTCTAATTATTTTCCTAGTGTAATGTCTTTTGAACTACACATATATGTGTAATATATGTGTGTGTATGTTTAAAAATCAGATTCTCATTACTTTGGTGGAAATTAGAAAAAAAAAACGGTAGTTTTCTTTTTCTTTTTTTTTTTTTTTTGAAACAGAATCTCGCTCTGTCACCTGGGCTGGAGTGCAGGGGCATGATCTCAGCTCACTGCAGCCTCTGCCTCCCAGGTTCAAGAGATTCTCCTGTTTCAGCCTCCCTAGTAGCCAGAACTACAGGCGTGCAACACCATTCCCAGCTGATTTTTTGTATTTTTAGTAGAGATGAGGTTTCCCCATGCTGGCCAGGCTGGTCTCGAACTCCTGACCTCATGATCCTCCTGATTCAGCCTCCCAAAGTGCTGGGATTACAGGCAACCACACCCGGCCTAACTATATTTTCTATTGTGATATCTAAAATTACACAAATGCATTATACAAACGTTTGTTCAATCATATTTTTCTATAGCTCTATGGAACAAACTGCAGGAAGAATGAAAATATTTCAGTTAATAATTGTATAATTAAAGTTTCAACTTCCATTCATTGTAACATTATAACTTCAAGCACCCCATTTTCATTCTAAATCACGGAAATACTGGACAAAATGTACAATAAAAATGCAAAAGTCAGCTGTACAAAATTAGATCTTTGAGAGTAAAGATCAAAACTAAAATAGAGAGCAGGGAACAGGGCTAACACCAGAGCTTATTCTCTTGGTCTAGAATCGGGTAGGAGTTGCCAGAAGTTCTGTTCATGCAAGGTAACCTGAGGGAAACAAGGAGAAAAAAAACAAACTTTCATTCAAAATTCAATTCAAAAATGACTGGAGTCAAGCTCATGGATGGAAACTAGAGGTCAAATGTGTAGTTCATATTCTCCTCCCACGCTTCAAAAAGAAAGCTTCAGAATGCTAACACTGACCTTTGCTCCAAACTCAAGCTTTTATGAACCTATAGTCTAGGCTGGTGGGAAGAGAAAAATCACAAACCCTTGACCAGGGATTGAGTCAAACCACCTACTGTTTTGAAGAATAAATTCCCTACATCCCCAAAGTAAGCACACAGATCAGCCCAAACCAAGATTAAAGACCTATATTTTGGACAGAAGGCCACAGGGAACAGCTAACTGAAAAAAGAAATAATAAAGCTGGACAGGATGAAGGTATAGAAGGAGAAAGCAAGTAATGGAAAAATGATCAAAATATAATTTCACACAAATAAATCCAACTGGGCATAATATGTACATATACCTAATGTTAAGAAGGACGTACATTAACAAAGCAGAATATGTGTGAATTTCAAATAAAATATGTGTATAATACACTTTAATATGAGTATGTTGGTTTCTTCAAAGAGATAAACAGAGGGATAATAGAGGTAAAAATTAATTCTTGCAAAAAAGGCAGAAACAAAATAAAACCAACCAGTCTATTACCAACAAGAACAATCAAAATATTCCAAATGGGAATGAGATGATCCTGAGAAATTAAGATGCAAGACAGAGGTAAGTAAATGTTAAATAAATAAAAGTTCAATGTAAAAGTATGAGTGCTAGATTAAGAAGTTTCTTTAAATGTTCAATAGAAGTTTCTAAAAAAGAAAGACCACAGAAACTTGGTAATTTAGATTCTTAAACTGAAATGCATGTCAGTGCCAAGCAAATAAATTAATTCTAATCTAGATACATGACAGTAAAAGAAGAAACTATTCAAGGATAAGGAGAATATGTTAGAAGCCAGCATGGGCAAGATACAGAATATATGCAAAAGATGGCAATTGTCCTAGCAATACTTTCTTTAATCAAAAAAATCAAAACTAAATGCCAAAACACAATTAAAATTGAAATGAAAATAATAAAGAAAATCATGTTTAGTCTAGAACTTAAAGTTGGGGTGAATTAGCATTCACTATAAGGGCAAAATAAAAGGCTTTGGGATACAGATATTCACCAAAAGAAATAGTAAAGGATATATTTTCAACGTTTTGGGTTTTGCTGATATAATTCTTAAGCTTTAAAATTTTTTTCTCAATCTGTTTTTTAACGTTATTTTTAATTGACACACAATTGTACCTATTTCTAACGTACAATGTGATGTTTTCATATGTGTATACACTGTAATGATCAAATCAGGAATTAACATATTAGCCTTCAGAAATACGTACAATTTCTTTATGGTGAGAATATTCAAAATCCTCTTTGTTAGCTGTTTTGAACTACACAATAAGTAATTACTAACTATATCACCCTACTGTGCAATAGTACACCAGATCTTATTCTTATCTAATTGTAACATAGCACCTGCTGTTCAATCACTCCTGGTTCTCCCCTCCCTCTTACCTTCCTCAGTCCCCTGCAACCACTATTGTACTCTCTACTTCTATGGGATCCAACTTTTTTAGATTCCACATATGAGTGAGATCATGTAACATTTGTCCTTCTGTGCTTGGCTTATTTCACTAAACATAATGTCCTCCAGGTTCATCTATGACATTGCAAATGGCAGAATTTCGTTTTTGTGGATGAATAGTATTCCAATGTGTATATATGTCACATTTCCTTTTTTCATTCATCCACTGATGAAAACGTAGGTTGATTTCATATCTTGGCTATTGTGAATGATGCTGTAATACAGATATCCGTTTAACGTACTAATTTTATTTCCTTTGCATATGTACCATTTAGTGAGATTGCTGAATCATATGGCAGTTTTATTTTTATTTTCATTTTTATTTTTGAGGAACCACCATACCGTTTTACTAATGGCTATACAAAATAAAGTTCCCATCAACAGAGTATAAGAATTCCCCTTTCTGAAATCCTCTCCAGAATTTGTTATTTTTTATGTTTTTGATAGTAGTCATTATAACTGGAGTGAGGAGGTATTTCATCATGATTTTGATTTACATTTTCCTGGTAATTACTGATTTGAACACTTCTTAAATATGCCTTTTGGGAATTTATATGTCTTCTTTTGAGAAATGTCTATTCAGTTCTTTTGCCCATTTAAAAATCTGATTATTTTTGTTACTTCTACAAGAATAAAAAGGCATACAAAGGAAGGAATGAAATGCAACAATAGCAAAACCAAACAACTGAAGCTCAGATATTAACAGAATTTGTTGGTGAATTTAACCAATGATTATGAAAAATAAAAATTAATAAATTTTAAAAATAGGATAAGCATCGTACCCTGGAAAAGGTTAAGGTAACATTTTGACAACTCTAAGAATATTAGCAACTACATACTACTGTTGCTCTTTTGGAAACAAGAGCTGACATATTAGAAACTGAAATACCCACTAAGGGCAACATGCTCTGAGAAAGCCCAAGATACATAAAAAGCCAAGTGAAGATGCTCCAATGGTAGCTCCAGATTTGCAAACATCCCTACAAAGTCACCAGAATATGAATGTTAGTTAAACCAACTTGGGCCTCAGGTTCAATTTATCCTCCAGACAAATGCCACCAAATGTCTGTTGGCACCATTTGAAGTATAGGGATTACTCAGCAGAACCTTTCTCAAATTCCCAACCTACGAAATGTTGAGATATATTTAAATACTTGTTACTTAACCTTGTGGGCTATGTCACTGTGGAGTAATAGATAACTGGAACAAGCAATGTTTTATGTGTGTGTGTATATATATATATATATGTGTGTGTGTGTGTGTGTGTATAAAATTATTTTTACAAATTCAAGGATCAATCAATATCAGAAAATCAAAATGGTCTGCCACCTTAAAAGATGGAAGCAGGACAAGTTTTCATTTCTTGCAGAGTAGATATAAAACCAAAGGAATTAATAAAGCTCACCATTAATGTATAACATTGAATAAATTGATCTGTTTAATATATGTAGAATAAATATGTATTTAATATAACATTTTAGCAAAATGAATTTAATACAGCCTTTGTAAGAAAAAAACATTTTTACTTGTCAATGCCAGTATGTTTCTTCACAGTTCAAGGTTTTTTTGAAGTTAAAGTATCCAGGGAGTCTTTCTCATAATGGTCACTTAAATCACATGAAGTGAAAAATAAAAAATAAAAAAAAAAACCAGAATTCAGATTCTGCTAAAGTAACTAAATTTGCTAAATGTTCTAATCATCCTAAGATA
Organism: Homo sapiens; assembly: GCF_000001405.40. Lineage (NCBI taxonomy): Eukaryota > Metazoa > Chordata > Mammalia > Primates > Hominidae > Homo > Homo sapiens. The sequence goes on along the minus strand of NC_000013.11, from coordinate 84,333,150 downwards.
AACAGATGGCTTCTATTCAAGCGAAGCAAGGCAGTAATTATACACATCTGTACACCAATAAAAATCTAATATATCCAGAAGCTATTGGCTGCCATTTCAGATGATTCCTGAGAATAATAGTTGTATAGCCATTAGTCATTTTTTATAAAAGCTAAAATGACACCCAAGTAATTTTTATCATACAAAACACAAGGAAGAAATCTTCAATTTATTCCTCCTAAAAAATACTATTGACTGTCAATATATCAGTCATAGTATCTCTTTGCCATATTTTCTTCCTTTGTGTGCCATTAGATATATTTGCTGCTGTTTGTAAGGAATGCTAATATTTACTCAGTTAGTAGAAGAAACTTATATATTCCTGTCATCAGGGGTATGATAAATTTCACACCTAAAAAAATCAAGCTAAAAATATTGATCACCAACATAGCCGAATACTGTTCTTTGAATTCTAAACTTCTCTTCTGAATTTTCATACACAGGCAGAAATGCCATCACCTAAAGTAGGGTGTTGCAGTTCCACGTGAAGGAACAGCAGCTCAGCCATCTGGAGAGATGCTTTAAAGTTTTTTATTGTCCAATTGGATTTCTCTAGTTCTGTATGGCAGTCTGTAGACACCCACATTTTCTGTCTAGAAGTGCAAATGAATGCTTTTATTTCTGGCAGCTCATGTAAAATGCTGCACTTCAGATAGCCAGGCTGCAATGCTTCTGGCAACCAAAATCATTTCATTAGCCCAGTTAGAATGACATGCATAAAATTCAGATTACACCCTGTAAAATCAATTCTCATTACTAATCTTAATGAGGCCAATATGTTTTTCTATATACAAAACAGTGTAGAGTTTATCCTAATTTTAGGATCAAATGAAAAGGCACATTTCTGAATGTTTGTGGATACTATGCAATTTGTTGTAATAAAGGTATTTCTAACTTGATAATCTTAAGGGAAATGGATGGCAAATAACTGTTAAGAGTATTGAGAGAAATTTAACATTCAATCTAGTTATTTCTGTCTTACAAATTCCCTTATTCACTTCAATTGAATCTGTATTGATCACCATGAGTTAACTCACATACACTTAAATAAATTTGCATTGTCCGAATAAGAAAGCTAAAGCTTTACTTGTGTCAGCAAAGTTAGTAAAATAGGTAAAAAATGGCCTTTATTATTGAGAAAAGTGTTAGTCTCTGAAGCCAATGTAATTTAACAAGTATTTATTGATATATATCTTATGAACAGGCTTTTTAAAGGCACTTGTGAGGCATTGGTAGTAGATACAGATATGAAAACAGATAATACATAACTTTGTAATGAATTTACAATTCCTTTAATGTTTTAGGTATAGCAAATCAGCTACAAATAATGTGATGTCAGTATTATAAATTAAGCTAAGAAAAGTAGATCATAAAATCAGGATTTAAAAAATTCGGAAAATAAAGGGATTGTTGGTAGTTGAGTAGATAAATGTAAAATTCATGGGGAAAAAAGAACCTTATTAAGATCTTAAAAGATAGGTAGAATATGTTGGGAGGCCAAGGTGGGCGGATCACGAGGTCAGGAGATCGAGACCATCCTGGCTAACACGGTGAAACCTCGTCTCTACTAAAAATACAAAAAATTAGCCGGGTGTGGTGGCGGGCGCCTGTAGTCCCAGCTACTCAGGAGGCTGAGGCAGGAGAATGGCCTGAACCCGGGAGGCGGAGCTTGCAGCGAGCCGAGATTGCGCCACTGCACTCCAGCCTGGGCGAGAGAGCGAGACTCCGTCTCAAAAGAAAAAAAAAAAAAAAAAAAGATAAGTAGAATACGAATTGAATTTGAATTAGGGGTTATCTAGGTAAGTGTTATGGCTATGAGTATTGACTGGTGAAAGATAACATATAGTTATAAATTTGAAACTTTATAAATGGGAAATATTAAAAATGTTCAAATGAGATTAGGAGAGATTAATGACAGGCATTGAAACTATCTTCACACTTAGTAAAAAGAGAAATTTGGATAAAGCATAATTGCTAAAGCATGTACATATATAGTAAAATAATAACTTGACACCTAAAGAATGAAAGAGATGGTTAGTTTCAGGCAGAGGTTGTAACTATATATGTATATACTATATACACACTATATATATGTACACACATTATATATATATACACACTGTATGTACTATATATAGTAGTGTGTGTATACACATATATTTAGTTGTGTGTGTATGTGTGTATATATATATAGGTTTGCATGTATAGATATAAAATTTATAGACACATAGATAGGCAGAAGAACATTTTGTAACAATGAGGCAATTGTTAACATGTGTATTGTATGATGTTTATAATAATAAAATGATATTGTTGGACTTAGTGTTTGGAACATCGAATGGATTAAGATTATGTTAAATATGTGACATAGCAATGACAGCAATATAGCAGAACAATTACATCTCATTTTTCTCTCATTCAGATGCATTCATTTGGAAACAGTGGTTAATCACAAATACATCAAAGAGGAACTAAAGTAGGGGGAAAGTTGTTTTTATGTTACAAATCACATTAAAATTAATATGGCAATTGAAAGTATTGCTTGAAGTAAATATGCTGGAGAAAGAATAAAAACTTGCATCCAAGCTGCACCTGACAAATATCTGTAGAGCAGATACATATGGATATAGGACTTATTCGTTATAATTATAATTAGAATAGGCTTATTTCAGAAAGCAAGGATATCTTCACATTAAGTTTTCAACTTAAAAATTCATGACTGTGTAACTTCTACATAAAATACCTAAAAGTCAAAATCAGAAATGATTATAACTTAGTGCATGTGATTTCCAGTTGGAAATCTTCAATAACATTCTTCACTCGTTTGATGGATAATCTCACTTTTACCACCAACTTGGCCCATTAGGTTGTCCAGTGAAGACAATGGGATATCATGCAAAGAACGCCAGAATCAGAATTAATCCCCACTCAGAGAATTTCCTCAGTAATCCACAAGTCAGAAAGCCTACAAAGTGACAATATAGCACATGTAATTTTGGAAAAGTTTTCCTTGTGGAATAGAATTCCTTTAGATTGATAACATATCTGATTCCCTGTTGTTATTGCTATTTGGTCAATGTTATAGCAGATGGATGATTGATAGGTAGGTAGGTAGATGGATAGGTAGATGACAGAATTCCTTCAGCACAAGTTTGCAAAAGGAGTTTATAACGATAATATGAGTATGCTTTTTGGAAAGGAATCCTTCTTTCATAGAGATGCATACTGAAATACAAGTGGATTAAATATTTGTAGGATTTGCTTCAAAATATTTAAGAACAAGTGAATTAATTGTAAATAAAGGAATCAAGACTGGCCATTAAGATAACAATTGATGAAACTGAGTAATGTATACAGACTCACTATACAATTCTATCTATACATATGTATGTTGTATTAAAAAATAAACGAGGAAAGAAAAATATGTATTTCTATGTATATTCATTCAGGCAATCAGATATGCAATCAATCTAAAGGAATCATTTTTCACAAGGAGAACTTTTTCAAAATTACACGTGCTTTATTGTCACTATGTAGATTTTCTGACTATTGAATTACCACCTGTCGGCATAATGTAGAGGAAATTCTCTGGGTGGGGATTAATTCCGTTTCTAGTGAGTGTTCTTCACATGGTATCCTACTGTCTTCACGGGACAACTATGTATTTTTCTTTCCTTGTTAATTTTTAATACAACATGTTAAAATACGTGATCTTTCAAACGCTGCATGTTTTCAGTTGGCTAAAATGCTGGAGGAAATGCTACTTCCTACAAGGGTAATAATGTATTTGCAATGCAAAAATATTCTTGAATTAATGTCCTTAGAAGCTTCCCTGCTTTATCAAACCTAGTCATTCATACTAGGAAAAATGAAATATTTTCAAATGATGGCTAAACTTCAAAAAAAAAAAGAAATTCCTGGAGACAAAAGTGGAATAAAAATGACTATTATACATGTAAGCAAATTCAGAGCCATCCTACGGACATTTGCTGATTGTAAAACTAAACGTTAGGGATTTTTATGGTCATGTGGAGACCACTGAAAAGGAGTAAACCCTTGTCAAAGTGAGGTAGGAACCAAGACTTCCACAAGCAGCCAGAGGCTTGGAGGGTTGCACAGCCTGTGACAGGGTAGACTGGGGAAAAAAGGAAAAAAAAAAATCAGCCCACATACAAAGACAGTGTGTTTAATTAACTATCTTGGCCTCCGTTCCAAATAGGACAAAATAATTCTGCCCTGGGAACTGGCAAATATATGTATGTTTTCCAGTCACAGAATTGCCTTGTGCATTTGAGTTTATACTGATGCTTGGTTCAAGATCCCCTAGTATGAAATATAAATTTAAAGTGATCCCTGGTTAATGGCACCTCAGGTTGCTGTCAGAAACAAATACAAATGCTGCCTAGAATAATTCATGTTAAATATAAGCATAGCATAATTCCCCCAAAAGTCAAAATTTGGGCCTAGGCAGCTTCAGATATGGAGATAATTGATACTGATGTTTAAATACTTAATTTAAAAGGCAAAAAATAAATAGAAATATAATCCAGAAATAAAATATTGTCAAAAGAATCAAGCATGATTTTAAAAAGTACCACATAACTTCTAGAAATTATGTGAATGTAAATATCTATATGTATAATTAAACCTAAATCTATCTATCTGCCTACCTGACTACAGAGAAAGACAGGGAGAGAGATTTTCTAAAGTTAAATAGATAGGGTTAATGCAACCTGGACAGAGCCAAAGAACATTAATAAACAGAAAAAAAAAACTAATATGAAGAATTTAACAAGAATTCAACAAAGAAATATAAAAGAAGGCCGGGCGCGGTGGCTCACGCCTGTAATCCCAGCACTTTGGGAGGCCAAGGTGGGCAGATCACGAAGTCAGGAGATCGAGACCATCCTGGCTAACACGGTGAAACCCCGTCTCTACTAAAAATACAAAAAATTAGCCGGGCGAGGTGGCAGGCGCCTGCAGTCCCAGCTACTCGGTAGGCTGAGGCAGGAGAATGGCGTGAAACCCGGAGGCAGAGTTTGCAGTGAGCCGAGATCGCGCCACTGCACTCCATCCTGGGTGACAGAGCGAGACTCCGTCAAAAAAACCAGCCAACCAAACAAAATATATATATATGAGAAGAGTAAACAAGCATGGAGGACAAAAATGAGAACATTCACCATGGGTCTAACTTGATTCCCAGAAGGCGAGATGATGTAGATATGAATAAGTCACAGTTGATGAGAAAATTACTGAGAATTTTCTACGCTGATGAAAGTCGCTAAACCTTAAATTCTGAAAACACACCAAAAGCTAGGCAAAATACACGAAAAGAAATTAAAAAAAAAAAACTGACAACTGCCCAAAATATACTAAAACAAATATATATTTAAAATAACCAGTGAAATTAATACTATGTACAAAGAACAATAAAGGATGTAACATGAGAATCTGCAAGATCAATAGAAAAGCCTGAAATAAATTCTTCAAATTGTGAAAAGAAAATAACTGTAAAACTGAAAATCTACCCCTAGGTTAAAAAAATCTTCAGTTATGAGGGCATAGGAAAGGCCTTTCCAAAAGTAATTCGTTAACTATAACTATATGTTGTCAATAGATTAATAATTACTTTAGAAAACTGATAATTGATCCTAAATAGAAGGTGTAAGATACAAAATGGTGGGAAAATAAAAGGTGTATAATTCTAATATTTACCCATTGTGCAAAGAACTGATAATAATAATGTTCATTTTTTATAACAAAAGCTCAAATTTACAGAAAATTCAAATGCATCAATAACCAATATAAATATAAAATGAAAAGTTCTCCAATTAAAACAAAAGATGTTCAGAGTTTCTTTTTTAAGAGTTAAAAAGTACAGCACAATTTTTTAAGTGTTTTTAAACAAAGTGACATATACCTTAATTGTGGCAAAATGTTACTAGTTATAAAGAATATTATGATATGGCAAAGTTTGAGTATACCAGCATGAAATGACAGTTTAAAAATATATTTAATTTTAACATAGTTTTAGAATAAATGAATCAAATATTAATTTTCAGAAGCAGAAGCACAAACATAAAAATACTTAAAACCAAAACTGGACACTGGGAAGAAATCTTATTAGAAATATTAATTCCTCAAAGACAACCCCAAAGGAATCACAAAACGGGCCATGAAGTAATATAAGGTATTTGCCACATGTTTATCCAATAAAAATTTATAACCAGAATAAAGCTAGGGCTCCTTTAAACCAGTGGACAACCCAAACAAAAAAATTAGGAGAACGTTGAGCAAGCTTTTCACATAAGGGGAAATCTAAGAAGCCAACAAATATTTCAAACATATGCTCAAAATCATTAATCTTCAGGAAAATTTAAAAAAATCCATTGGAATAAAAAAACACCCATCAGAATACTGAAAATTTACACAGAATGATAGTACCAAGTATCAGTGAGGATGGGAAATAATGAGAATTTTCGTATATTCCTGGTAGAAATGAAGTTTAAAAAGTCACTTTTAGAGACTAATTGACAATATTTATTACATTTGAACATTTTAATAATCTGTCACCTATTAACTAAATAAAACGCATGTGTATGTGCACTGAAGGATATTTAAAGGAATGTTTATAGCAGCATTATGCGTACTAGCTGAAAGCTCTTCTCTTCAGCAAAATAATAAACTATGGTATATCAAGCCATTTACTGTTGAAATAATATACAAAATTTAAAATTAATTAATTATTGCCATATAATACACCGAAGAGTCTCACAAATATAATATGTCAAGCCACGGAAGAATGCATAATCTATGAATTTCATAAAACAGGCAAAAATAGCCTATGCAACTGAAATCAGAATAGCGGTTCCTTTTTAGAAGTGGTGTGTGGGCTTCTGTGGGAGTGGTAATATTCTATTATTAATATGTTTGATGATTAGATATTAACAACTTTTTGATACTTCAATGGGCTACATACTTATGATTTGCCCATTTCTTGTATGTTTTATGTTAATAAAAACTGTTAAACTATATATAAATCAAATAATAATGAAAACACAATGGACATTGTAATAGCCACAATATTGGTTAGACTTTACGTAATATGTCTGTGAGTAATTTATAGATCAAGTGAATACAAAACCAAAAAATTTGTACCAACGTGAAGAGTTTCCACAGAAGATTGAACAATCAAATGAACAAACATTATTGGGAGTTCATAGAGGATATTACATACTATAATAATATAATCCACATTTTTTCTGACACAGAAATTATAAAAATTGATTACCTACTATGTGAGTCTCAATAAATTTTAAAGAATTAGACTGTATTTTCTCAACATAATGTGACTACAGTAGTGATCCATGACAGCAATAACTATAAAAACAAAAACAAAAAATAGTTACTAATATATAGACATATTTTTAAGTAACCAGTTAGTGAAAGAAAGCATGATAAATTATGCTGAACAATGTGGCCAACATAGTATTGAGAATGATATTAAAATCATTCACATGCCTTCATGAACAATTAAAGAATAAAATTAATAAGCTAAATATCAAAACTAAAGAGTATTTTGCATTACTTGCATAATAAAAAAAAGAGAAAAAATAAAAAACACCAAACAGATATTAATATAATACAATACAAATATAAAATACAGGCATACCTTACTTTATTGCTCTTCATTTTATTGGACTTAGCATATAGTATTGCATGTTTTACAAACTGAAGTAGAGTGGCAAACCTGCATTAAGAAAGTCTATCAACACCATTTTTCTAACAGCATGTGCTCACTTTGTGTCTCTGTGCCACATTTGTTAATGCTCCCAATACTTACAGTTTTTTTCTATTATTAAATTTACTATAGTGATCTGGGATCAGTGATCATTGATACTACTTTGGTAATTGTTTTTGGACACCACATCATGTCAATATAAGATAGTGAACTTAGTTGATAGAGCAGTGGCAGGTTTTAAAAGGATTAACTTCAATTCTGTAAGAAATTCTATGGTGGATAAAATGCTAGCAGCCTTAGATGCTACAAAGGAATCTTTTGTAAAAAGAAGAGTCAATTGATGCAGCAAACTTCATGGTTTTATTTTAATAAATTGTCATAGACACCCCAACCTTCAGCAGCCACCACCCTGATCAGTCAGCAGCCATCAACATCAAGGCAAGGCCCTCCATAAGCAAAAAGAGTATGACTGGCTACAGGGTCATATAATCATTATTTTTGGGGGGGGAAATAAAGCATTTTTAAACTAAGGTATGTGCATTTTTTAAGCATAATGTTATTTGACACTCTATAGACTATAGTATAGTGTAAACATAAGTTTTAGATGCACTGAGAAACCAAAACATCCATGTAACCGACTTTAGTGCAACATTTGCTTCTTACAGTGGTCTGGAACCAAACTCACAATATCTCTGAGGTCTGTCTGTAGAGAGATTTTATATAATAAATATTTAAATCTTTGAAAACATATTTAATAGACAAACTTTTAACAATACTGATCGAGAAAAATTGAGATATAAATTAGTACAAGTAACAATAATAATAATGTGAGAGGTATTATTTCAGGTTAAAATGTAATAAAAATAATAAATTTGAAAACTTGGAAAAGCATTTTATAAAATAGCATAATTATTTAATAATACTCAATATATAATAGAACACATAAATTGTTTTACGACTGTTACACATATTTAATTTCTAGTTTAGCATCCATCCATCAATATCACTGAGCACAGATGGTTTTCAGAGAAGTGTTTATCAAACATTCAAGAAAATAATAACTCAAATTATTTTTCAAATTATTTTAGAGAATAAGCAAAAAGAAACCACAATCCATTATCTGAAATAAAAATACAGTTTACTACTTAACTCACATTATAAGAAAGGTAAGTTACTACATACTATAAATTATAACCCTAGATTAAAAACCTTGTATATTAGTAAAATAAATGCACAATTATATAACATGTGCATTAATAACAAGTGGTGAGTATGTAATAATGCAAGTAAATTTCTTAACATATTCACAATATTTGTGCATGTAATTTGTCAAAATAATGTTGTAAGAGAGAAACCCATAGATCATCTCAGTGGAATTTTTTTCTATTTTTATTATTTTTTAAATAAATTTGACTGTGTATATTTGAGGTTTACAACATGATGTTATGGCATTCATGTAGACAGTAAATTGGCTACTATAGTGGAGCAGATGTATATATCTGTCATCTGACATAGTTATGTTTGTCGATGAGAATAACAGCTAACATTTATTTATTTAACAGAAAATCCCTTATACAATAGAATCTCATGAACTATAATCCTCATTACATTAGAGCTCTAGACTTGTTTCTCCTGCATATCTGCTACTTGTACCGTTTGGCCTACATCTCCTCATTTCCTATAGCTTCACCACCCCTGGTAACCATTGTTTTATTTTTTATCTCTGTGTATTTGTATATATTTGACTTTGATTTTTTTTTTCAGTTTTTACATATAAGTAATACCATGTAGTATTCTTCTCTCTGTGTCTGGCTTCTTTCACATTGTATAATGTCCTCCAGGTCAACCACATTGTGGCCAATGACATGATCTGCTTTTCCAAAGACTAAATAATATTTGTATATTCATATGTATATTCATACATATATATACACACATTTGAGTATATAATTAAAATGTATGTATGTATGTGTGTGTGTGAATACATATATATATACACACCACATTTTCTTTATTCGTACATTAATGACAATTGTTTCTGTACCCTGGCTATTGTGACTGATGCTGCAATAAACATAAATGCAGATACCTTTATGTGGTGGTAATTTCATCTCTTTGGGCATATACCCAGAGAAGTGATTGCTGTCATATAGCAGCTCTATTTTTAATTTCTTTAGAAGCCTCCATACTGTTATATAATTGCCATACCAAGCTACATTCCCACCAACAGTGTACAAGGGTTCCCTTTTTCCACATCCTCAGCAATATTTGTTATTTCTTGTCTTTAATAGCTGTTCTAACTGGTATGGGGTGATGCAGTGGTTTTAATTTGCATTTTTCTGATATTGGGGATATTGTATAATATTGTTCACAGCTTTGGTCCTTTCTAACTGACTTTTTAATGCACACTACATTTGGCAACTCATTTCCATTTTTTGACATACAATATTGACACAATATTGTACGTATGACACAGTATTGTATGTACCTGTTAATCATTTTTATGTCTTCTTTGCCAACTCTCTGTTCAGGTTCTTGCCCATTTTTTAACTGAGTTGTTTTTCTGCTATTGAGTTATAAAGATTGTTTATACATTTTGTATACTAGCCTCTTATCAGATATGTGGACGTGGCTTGCAAATACTTTTTTCTATATTGTAGGTTGACGTTTCATTTGTTGATTGTTTCTGTTGCTGTGAAGAAGGTTTTTGGTTCAATGTAGTCCAATGTATTTATTTTTGCTTTTGTAGCCTGAGCCTTCGGTGTGATATCAAAAAATAATTGCCAAAGTCAAGGAGCTGTTCTTTTGTGTTCTTTTCTAGGAGTTTCATAGTTTCGGGTTTTACACTTAGATATTTCCTCCATTTTGAAGTGATTTTTGTGTCTGGTGTAAGATAAGGCTCTGATTTTATTATTTTGCCTGTGGAAGTCCGGTTTTTTCAGCATCATTTCTTGAAGAGACTCTCCTTTTCCTATTATATCCTTTTTCTATTATGTCTTTGTAAAAAATGTGTTGACCATGTATGTTGGGATTTATTTCTGGACTTTCTATTCTATTCCATTGATTTATATTTCTGTTTTTATGCCAGTACCAAACCGCTTTGATTACTATATGTTTGTAATACAATTTGAAATCAGGAGGTGTGAGGTCTCCAACTCCAGAACTCCTTAATACTGTTGATGTCATTAAATACAAGGGAGGTCTGAGAAACTTTCACAGACCAGAAGACACTAGCAACATGACAACTAAACACAAAGTGCTACCCTGGATTGGACCTTGGATCAGAAAAAGGGTATTAATGAAAACATGGCTGAATCCAAATATTTTCTGGAGTTAAGAGTAATATATCAATGTCAATTTCTTAATATTGGAAAATGTATCATAGTAATGTAAGATATTGATAATGAAGATACTAGATAAGGGGTATATAGGAACTCTTTGAACTGCATTTGCAACTTTTCTGTAAATCTAAATTTATTGAACAATAAAACATTTATTTAAAAAGAAATTGAATCCTGACATCGCATGCCAAAAAAATGGCAACAAATTGCCATATATAGTATGCATTAAGAAGTCAGTCAGAAAGGACCAAAGCTGTGAACACTATTACACCAGAAACAAAACATAAAAAGCTTATAAAACAAATTATAAGATGTTCAACGCTATTAGTAATTATAAAATTACAAATTCAAACCATTATGAGATATATTTTCCCACCCATAATGCTGACAGGAAACAGAATATCACATGTTGTGAGAAAGCAGAACAGTAACCTTTTTATTGGTGGGTAGACTACTCAGTGTAAATACACAGAGGAGATGATTGGCAAAATGTAGTAAAATCAAAGATGCATTGAATCTGTAAGTCAACCATGTACTCCAAGTGTGTATATTACAGAAATAGAAATATGCACACAACATGTGTTTCTGAATGTTCATGGCGTTGTTTGCTGTGGAAAAAATAAAGTGGGAAACTATTTATATAGCTATTAACAGAGAATATTAAAGAAATAACATTTTCATACATATTCATATAATGAGATACTGTGAAGCAGTGAATATAAATGAAATAGCACAGCACCTATCAATGCATATAAACTTTACAAACATAATTTTGCTTGGAAAAAATAAGTTTCAGAAGATGTATATCATGGGTTCAAGTTCCCTAAAGTTTAAAAACATATAAAATAGCATCACAGTATGCTTATAAATGTCTATGTATACAGTAAAGCTGTAGACGATGAATCAGAGTGATACACATAAAATTCACTATAGAAGACATCTCTGCAGAATGAATAGGGAATTAAATTAGGGAGGGGATTTCAACAATATTGGCAATGTTAATTTATGAAGCTAGCTGATGGACATACAAGTATGTATTATTACTTATATATTTTTCTTGTCCTTAATTTTTTATAACAATGCACTTCAGTTATATATGTTATATTCCCCTAACCATTCTATCTGCTCCTTTCTTAACAGGATTCCATTCAAAGCCTCTCTTAAAATATTTTACAAGAACTACATATTACCATACAGGTTTTATAGCTTAAAATACGTCATATATTTGTATCTGCATGCACAGATGCTATTAAATATGTCAAAGGTGCAATACATTTTTCTTTCATGTTATGTTATTCTTATTGATCTTGTCATTTAAAAATATTTATAAACATTTTCCTTGCATGTTGATGTGGATTACTACCTGTCACTATTTTTCTATAACTAATTTTTAATACAAGCTAGAACTACAAAATTAGAATAAATGCTGACCCTGAATAGTTAATGATTATGCTGCATGGTATATCTCCTGGCAATGTTCAGAAGTTGTCCTTCAATAGGTCTCTCACTGTGACACTCATATATTCACTAATTTACTGTGGTTCAGGATCTGACTCTTGTATTTGCAGAGCCAGAAAACTGATTGTATAATTACATGCAGGATGGGTCCATGTCTCACTTGCAAACTAACTTAATCAAGTTTTCCAAATTGATCTATGAAGCCACAAGAACAATTTACTTATTCAAAATAGAAGTATAGCTCTTAAATGAAGGGAATCATTTACCTCATATTAGCAATTCATTCTCTCCCTTTATGCATATAAGGTAGGAAAAAATAGTAGGATCAGGTTGTTTTATGAGCATTTTACAAACTAAGTTAATAGATTAATTTCATACTTATTGGCACCAGGATAAGAAAGCTTAATATTTTTATCCCAGATAGTAATAGGTCAACTTTGCTGATGAAATATTATTATTTAAAATATATTGTCTAAGATTCATTCTTCCCTGATTAGAAATAGAATTGAAACAACCAATCTTTGCTTCTGTAAGTCCCTTTTTCCCACACTCTTATGATTGCTACCTCATGCTTTTGAGTGACATATACTTTTTGGAAATAAGATAATGCATTCAGCCAAATTACAGCTATGCCTTTGAAGTCTGGGACCTTGTCTGCCTTTGAGGTAACTTTGTATAAATGTCCTCTGATCCATTGTGTTGATTTTCCAATGCAACTCTCATAGGACATCTTATATCCTTTGTTTCTTCTTTGCATCTGATATCTGTCATCCAACATAATAGCTATCACTTCCAGTTTTTTGTTGGCTGCAATTGTAATCATGCAAGTCATTGATAAAAATGTAAAACAGAGCAGGACAAGAGCTTCTCTTGCATGCCGCTAGAATCTGTATTCTCTCTTGACAGATTTTCAGTAATTATAGCTCTTTCTGAACATGATCAACCATTTACAATCCCACCCAAATGCCTTGCCTTCCAACAAAATGAATTTTTGTTTTCAAGGACATCATGTGAGACCTTGTGAAATGCTTTTCTGAAATCTAGATGAAATTCATCCAATAAGTTAGCCAAATTAATTATTCATTAAACTTACATAAAAGAAAATATTGCTGCTCTTGAATGATCTATTTTGTGTATCCATATATCTTTGGTGGGTGCTTTTTATTTTAAGAGCATAATGTTATTTACTTGTTTAAAAATAGAGTTTTTTAGTGTATCTTCTTTCACTGTTGATCACATACTAAAATCCACATCTTTGTAAAAGGCTTCTTGGACCATGCAGGTAGAAGTCTGTGAATTACAGGGGACTGTTATGTCCTTCCTCCTTTCCAGTTTGCACTCTGTCACCAAATCTGGAATTCATCCATTTTATCTACTTCTGTTGCCTATATTCTTGCAATTCACCATCCACTATGGTGTCAGAAAAATCTGTAAGCTAGGTATCAAAGACTAAATTGTATCAACCCCAAATTTATAGATTGAAGCCCTAATTGCCAATAGGAATATATTTGGAGACAGGTCTTTAAGGACTCAATGGAGAGTAAATAAGCTTCTAAGTGTGGGCCCTTATTCAATAAGACCAATGTCCTCATAAGAAGAAACAGACACCAGGAGAGCAGCCACACACCGAAAAAAGGCCAGGTGAAAACACAGTGAGAAGGTGGCATTCTGCAAACCAAAAAGAGGGATTTCAGAGAGACCAGCTCTGCCAACAACTTTGTCTAGATAGATGTCTTTTTTTTCCTCATAAGCACAGACACACCCACACACACCCACACACACACATACACACACACACGAACCCCTTCTGTGCTTTTACATAATATTTTTCACTACTTTAAATTATGAGTTTTCGTAATTCTTTATGGAAACTTTTTTTTCTCTAGTAAATAGTGATATTATTTTCATGGCATTATTCAATTTAATCATTATAATAAAAGTAAATGTTCTAACTTTCTATCTAGATTATGTACACCTTGAGCACAGTGATTTGGCTTTACTGATACTTTTTTTCAATGTTTATCACAATGTTTCTCAACTAACATAGAATATAATTGAGTATTTTGTTAACATAATACATTTTATTTTAATATTTTTTATTTTATCAAACCATAGCATTATTCAGTATTTTCTGATAATTTTTTAAAAAGTGTTTTCCAAAATTTCTACATACCTAAGAAAGCATAGGTATAGCAGAGGAAGAAAGGATTATCTCTAGGAAGAGTATCTTTGGCAAATAAAGTGAGCATGGAGAATTCAAGTGAAAGGATGTTAGATTATCTGCAGTGGAATTGTCATATTAGTCATTAAGGGAAATAAGTGTGGTAAAAAACATTTTGAAATATTAATCAAGTTTTCTTTGTCATTTCTCATATTCTGTGTCAATTCCCCATTTATTCATCTGATTTCTCTTTGACTAATTTATGACTCTTTATTGTTTACTATATTCAAATTCTTTAGGATTTACCTAGTTCATTCTCTGGCTTCTTGAATCAATCAACTATTATTAAACTTGTATGTTATGGTGATAACCTTGTGAGCCACATATGTGAGAAGTCAGTCCAAGAGATGGAGACACATGGAGATGCCAGAGAAACAAGGAAGCAGAAAACCGGACGCATCTAACAGGAATGAGCAGGGGCCACCGTCAAGACGGTGTTTTGGCAACACAAAGATCCACCTGGCAGGGTATAAAAGCAGGGTATACTGCTTTGAACTGAGTAAATCTAAGAATTACTGGATAATTTATGGTAGCAATAGTGGATTTCTTGTTATTGAAGGCATGTATATGGTTGGCAATTAATTACAAAAGAAAAAGACATGTGGCCATATTTATTTACAGCCAAATCAGATGTATCATGTCATACAAGTTAGATTACTAACACAAGCATTTCAACATTATCCTAGCCAGATTGAAGGGATAGTCTAGTTAGAAAACCCTGGAGGTGATAAGAATTAATAATGTCGTTTATGCATAAAAAATCGTTTTCTTTACTATTTGTACATAAAAATGGAAGCAACAGTACTAAAAATTTTTTAAAAAGTTTAAAAATTCGAAACCAAAAGAAAGTCTCAAACAAGCTTTAGGCATTCTAGTAAGCTACCTCTCCTAATTTTTCTTGTTTTGCTACAGTGTTTTTCTGTGTATAGATGCAATTTAAGAAAGTTATAATTACAGAGTATATACAATTAGATATGTGTTCACTTAAAGTGACAAAAGAAACTGTTCACATTTTATGACATGCTACCAGAGAGTTTCTTGAAAACGTGGTGACTAAAGAAAATTACCATAATAGTAAGTGAGAATAAATTTAAAAAAACAATGAGAACTCAAAATTCTAGTGTAGTGGAAGAAGTAATGAAAATATTATTAAGAAAACTAATTAAAATGAAGTATTTCAAAGTGAAGATGATTAGTTTAATATGGATGTGCCAATGCTGAGGTGGTAATAAGACATCCAATCGTCCAAGTTACAAATATCTAGTAGAAAAATGGAGCAATCAATCTAGGCAATTTGTTCAAATATAACTTTTTCTTTGTGAGTGTAAAATAGTATACAGTGCACATCATAAATACTGTGGTTACATTTCAGTGGTATGGAAACTATCTCCACTTATGGGATACATACATACATATTCATAAAAGTAATATATGTGTTTACAATACATATGTGTGTCTATTTATATAAAAATCAATAATAGTCATTAGCTTCATTTGAGTATAACTCAAATCAATGTATCTATTAATGGTGTAGCATCACTACCAAAAATATAACATGTACGATTGCAGTCAATTACGATAAAAACTTTTATTATAGTTACATTTGATTCAGAATTCAGTTACCTATAGTAAATTTTAACTAGTTACCTAATTTGTCAGACATCAACTGCAAGATATGGGTTAAGAATCTGTAGTTTCGGAATTGCCAGGTATTGTGCAGAGTTAAAAAAAAAATCATTGAGATGTTTGACGGCACAGAGGTTGACTGAAAAGTTGTAAAGTTCTAAATGCTAATATTGACTGAAATTTTTAAATCAGGTAACCTTGCACTTTGTTATCAAAGGCAGTTAAATAACATTGAGACTAAATAAATAAAACTAGAAAAGAACATATCATTAAGCATAGAAGGATACAAATGTGTTGCGTGTTGTGTGTGTGTCTGTGTGTGTGTGTGTTTGTCCATGTGAAAGTCTGAGGAACACTAAGATATGAGTTCATATAATCAGGTTGTAGTCTTGCCTTTTAAAAATATTTTATGATTTAATACTGAGAAAGTCATGGTCTCTGATGTTTCTATCTATATACAGACATTTTCACTAGATCATATTGAAAATCTCTTTTAGCTTTCTGACTCAGCATTTAAATATTAATGTGTTTTATTTTGAATAATGAAAGCTATAAAATACAAGCAGTCTACTTTCATCTCTTAGGAGGTGTAATTTTTTTGCAGTTTCGCATATGCTCAGACCTAATCCTAGCAAGACATGTTATTTTCATGACATATATTGACACTGCATTAATCAATCAGCTTTAAAACTTAAAAATTCCAATTCAGTGTATGTGCTATTTTTTAAATATGCTAAATTTAAAGCAAAACTACAAAAGGTAATGTCTAATAGGAAGAATCTGTTTTTTCTCATACAATTTAAACATCATATAGTGTGAAGTAACAGAAGATGCTTGCTTCTGTCCTAATATAGTATTCAGACAAAGTTTCTTTTGTTTTATTGCATACTGAGTGATTTGGCCTCTATTGAAAAGCAGTTCAGAAAATCTCAGAGGAGGATAATGTCTGTTGACGATAACTGATGCTGGCTTCCATGGAAATGCTAATTTGGTAACAGTTGCTGTCAATCAGTCGCTTTGAGTTATTGTTCCAGCACTTCTAGATGCAATACGTGATGGCTGATGAAAGTTCCCACTACGGTAATTAGACTGTCTTCAAAGAAGACAGGATTGTTAACTTAGGCTAAGGTAAACAGGCTCTAAGCAGGAAAAATAAGCATAAATAGCTTTAAATGATTCAACAAAGAAGAAACCTCAGAAAATCCTTCTTGTTCTCATTTTCATAAAATAAGAGAACAGAGGTTGAACAAAATCAGCAAATCTTATGGTGTATAACAAATTGAACTATTCTGGCTTCTATATATATATTTACTATAGTTAAAAAAGTTAAAATTGTCTATTTCTGTCATACATGGTTTAATAAAGTAGTTCTATGAGGCATAAAAGTTTTAAATCTTTGATTCTATGAAATTTGTCCGTAAAGGTGGATTTCTTAGTGAAATATAAATGTATCCTAAATATTTTTTACTTCACTAATTAGAAAATACAACTCTGATAGCAGGAACAAACTTTGGAATACAACAATTAAATTATCTTTAAAAATTAGAGGAATACTTCAAGTAATTACAAAAACAAACTTTTTTAATTCAGTGAACTCAAGAGCAAATAAAGTTGATTTGCAGCTAACCAATTCTAAGCCCCAAAGCAGGCAAAATATTAGGCCTGTCTTCAATGTTAAATATAATTTTTCAAAAGGAGAAAAAGTAATTCAGAGATTTTAAAGTAGCTATATTAATGTAATAAAATAGATTATCTGGAAATATTTGAATTTATTATTTTAATTATAATTCCTAAAATATAACATCATTAAGGCACACTTATCAAAGTGTCTGAAAATAAGCTTATCCTTTGTAAGATATTTTTATTCTGACTTTATAGACTGCTTTATCGTAATGTTATAGATTGTACATAATTAACTATATAAATTGATAAATTTCATATATGTTCATACCCATGAAGCCATCACCACGATCAAAATAATCAACATTTCCCTTTCTCTGTTTGCCCACATTCCTTTGTAATTTCGCCTTCTCCCTCCACACAGCTGATATATGTTCTGTCATTATAGCTTAGTAAATCTTAGAAATTTATTTAACTTAAATCATGTAGATGTACTCTTTTTTGTCTTCAAAAATCATTTTGAGTTCTAAGATGCATGTATATGAAAAGTTTATTTTTAAGTAGTTTATTATTGGATGGATACACCATATTTTGGTTTTTGATTCAGCAGTTGAAGGACACATTATGGGTCACAAATTCCTTTTTTGTTCTTGGCAATCTTAGTAATGTTTCACTGGATGCTAGATATTGTGACATTTACCATGTTGGCTAAGGATAAATGGTCCGCAGCACTGAGGTGGAACCCTTCTTTATACTCTCCTCGAATCCTTAAGAATCATAAGGTTTTTCATTCTGTTGGGAATAGGTACTTCCCTGCAGTATTCCTGGCACCAGGCACTATTCTTTCTAGGGTGGTTCTTAACCCAGACCCAGGTAAATTCTCTACATGCCTGCACTAACCAATACTCAGATGAATACTTAAGAGAGATCCCCAGAGTTCTCACCACGTGTATCTCTCATTCTGCCATCACCTTTGCAATACTCAGTCCTTGCCTTTTTCTCCAGAGACTCTCAGCTTGTTTCTTTACCTCACAGAATCCATGGGGCTCTTGAGGAGCATTTAAGTTGCTTCCATCTCTTTGCTAATGTAAATAGTGCTGCAATGAACATTCACGTGTATGCATCTTTATGATAGATTGATTTACATTCCCCTGGGTATATACCCAGTCATGATACTCTGGCTTGAATGGTAGTTCTGTTTTTGGGTCTTTGAGGAATTGCCACACTGCTTTCCACAATGAGTGAACTAATTTACAATCTCACCAACAGTGTATAAGGGTTTCTTTTTCCCCACAACCTCACCACCATCTGTTATTTTTTGACTTTTTAATAGTATCCACTCTAACTGGTGTGAGATGGTATCTCATTGTGGTTTTCATTTATATTTCTCTAATGATCAGTGATGCTGAGCTTTTTTGATATGATCATTGGCCACATGTAGATCTTCTTTTGAAAAGTGTCTATTTGTGTCTTTTGTGCACTTTTTAATGGGATTGTTTGTTATTGTAAATTTCTGTAAGTTAATTATATGCTGGATATTAGACCTCTGTCAGATGCATAGTTTGCAAGTATTCTCTCCCATTCTGTAGGTTGTCTGTTTATTCTGTTGGTAGCTTCTATTGCTGTGCAGAAGCACTTTAGTTTAACTGGGATTCTCTTTTCTTATACTACCAATTGGAAACTCTGTCTAGGTTGAAAGTTGGAGGAAACACAGTGCTCAATACATTGTCCCCCCAGCACTCCAGGATTACTGTCTTGCATTGTTGTTTGGTGTCTTGAAATTAAAGTCAAAACAGAGCAAATGCTGTGGTATAAGTTCCAGTAGCCACGTGGCTGAGATTTGAGGTACAAATCCAAAAACGAATGATCAGGGCTTTAATTCTGAATTATGTAATTCAGATTGTCTAGATACTGAAAATCTTCTGGTGAGAGCATATGAAGGATATGAATATATTATACAAGGCTAAAAAAGCTTGTTCTAACTTCTCATTCTGTAGAAACTCTAGTTCTAGAGAACTGCTTGGTGAATATTTCCAAACTGCTTCACAGTTATATCTCTATGACTAGTTTCTGAAAACCTATGATTATAAGAACTGGCAAACAATTGCTCTCTGCCTGTGGTATCAAAGATTTTCAGAAAAACAGGCATTAATATGGCAAGTGTTTATACTATGTTGTGGAAAAGGATGGAATTAATGCAGTCACGAGAACCTTTACTTATTATTTTGTTTCCAGACTAATTCTCAGAACTTGAAATCATTTGGAACTGGGCAAGTGGACCATACAAATAATAAAATATTTATGAACATTCAACTCCTGTTTCAAACTTTATATTTTTATTTAAAATAATTATTTATTTCCCTTATCCATGAATATAAATATTTGATGAATATAATTAGAAAGATAGATATGCTTCTATATTTATTTATAAGCATTTTTACATTTGCCTAAAGAGACAAAAATGATAATGTTAGCGATGGCTGTGGATAACATTATTCAGAGACACAGTATAGTTTATGATAAAAATTTTACTGCTCCTGGAAAATAGTTTCTTCAATAATTAAACTGCCCCAGAATTTAGTGGCATAAGGCAAGCATGTTATTAGGCTCAGAGGGTCTGTGAGTGAGGCACTCACCACTAAGGACATAACTTGCCCTTTCTCCTTATGGCTGAGACCTTAGCTGTGAAGACTCGAAAACTGAATAACTTCATGTATGGGACTTGGACTCATCTGGAGGTTTCTTCAATCACATTTCAGACAGGTGATCTCAAATGATAGAAACAACGGGGCTCATTTAAGATTGTCATCAGGACACCTGAACATGGCTTGACTTCTTTACACTCATTATTGTAGCAAAACTTTCCAGATCTGATCTCAAGCAGTTAGGTAGATGGAATATGTTCTAGTGTTGGATAGCACAGTAAGGTGACTATAGTTAGCAATAATCCATTGTATGTTTCAAAATGGCTAGAAATAGATTTAGAATGTCCCCAAAACAAAGAAACGATAAATGTTTGAGGTACTGCATATCCTAAATACCCTGATTTGATCACTACACCTTGTATGGATGTATCAAAATATCACACGTACCACAGAAATGTGTAAAATCTTTATGCGTCAAAGAAAAATAAAATGAAAGAACAAGACGGAAACTGCATCTCCTTTATAATCTAATATTGAAAGTCACATAAAGTCACTTCCATCATACTCTATTGCTCAAAGTAGTCACTTTATCTAAATTTAAGGATAAGGAATATAAACCTCACAACTTGAAGGGATTAATAGTAAATAATATTGTGATTAGTTTTTTTTAAATTATCACACTGCTGATAACCCAAAGACGGCTGTGGTACTTTAAGTGTTATCATGGAAGGACTTTAGTAAAAATGTGAGATTCCTTTCACCACAGATTCTTTACAGTTTAGTCTTCCATTTATTTTCTTTTTGACTTCTAAGGTGCTATTAAATTGTGTAGGACAGAAGTCCTGCTCCATATGACCCCTACTAGAAAGAGTGAAATTCCTTGATTCAGGGTTCTAGAACCCATACAGGAACTTTTCAACATTAGCTACACTAAACTGTTAAAATCTCTAACTTCAGGAAAATTAATATGAAGTTGATTTCATTTGATATACTTTACATGGCTCATTAACACAGTCAGTATTTTTAAAAGGTTTGCAAAGTACTATTTAAATTGAGCTTTAAAAAAGCTTTAAAAAGATATGGAATTTGATGGAATGGGAGAGAGTTACAATTAAACATCTACAATTTCTGATGCTCTTTGCAGAAATGTTTCTTTATAGGACCAATAAGCAGAATTATCCAAGGTAACAAAACCAGCCCAGCATGCTTGCAGCCATAATCTCTGTCCTCATCTAACATGTGGATAACCATGTAATATTTTTGGCTCACAGAGCCATGGAAGACATGTAAGATAAAGTAATGGAACTATAAGGAAAAATCAAGAAAACAAAACAAAAAATGGAATTTCTATTGACTTATGTCCACAAGATTATGTTTATGTGTTTTCACGTGTGCCAGAGAGTAATCTACCATATCGGGACCCTCATGGAGAACCTCTGCTAAGGCAGTGCAGAAGGGAAATCTGGGTTTGGAGCCCCCACACAGAGTCTCTACTAGGCACCACCTAGTTGAGCTCTGAGAAGATGACCACTGTCCTCCAGACCCCAGAATGGTAGATCCACTGACAGCTTGCACCATGTGCCTGGTGCATGTATTAGTTCATTTTCACACTGCTGATAACGACATACCCAAAACTGGGAAGAAAAAGAGGTTTAATTGGACTTACAGTTCCACACGGTTGAGGAGGCCTCAGAATCATTGCGGGAGGTGAAAGGCACTTCTTGCATGGCGATGACAAGAGAAAAAATGGGAGAGATGCAAAAGTGGAAACTACTGATAAAATCATCAGATCTCATGAGACTTATTCACTACCATGAGAACAGTACGGGGGAAACCGCCCCCATGATTCAAATTATCTCCCACTGGATCCCTCCCACAACATGTGGGAATGATGAGAGTATGATTCAAGATGAAATTTGGGTGGGGACACAGAGCCACACCATATAATTCCACCCTGACCCCTCTAAATCTCATGTCTTCACATTTCAAAACCAGTCATGCCTTCCCAACAGTCTCCCAAAGTCTTAAACTCATTTCAGCATTAACCCAAAAGTCCACAGTCCAAAGTCTCATCTGAGACAAGGCAAGTCCCTTCTGCCTATGAGCCTGTAATATCAAAAGAAAGCTACTTACTTCCTAGATGCAACGGAGGTACAGGTATTGGGTAAATACAGCCATTCCAAATGGGAGAATTTGACCAATACAAAGGGGATACAGGGTCCACGCAAGTTCAAAATCCAGCAGGGCAGTAAAATTCTAAAGCTCCAAAGTGATCTCTTTTGATGCCATGTCTCACATCCAGGTCACCCTGATGCAAGAGATAGGTTCCCATAGTCTTGGGCAGCTTCGCCCCTGTGGATTTGCAGAGCATAGCCCCCCTCCTGGCTGTTTTCACAGGCTGGCATTGAGTCTCTGTGGCTTTTCCAGGCGCATGGTGCAAGCTGTCAGTGGATCCACCATTCTGGGGTCTGGAGGACAGTGGCCTTCTTGTCAGCGCTCCCCTAGGTGGTGCCCTAGTAGGGACTCTGTATGGGGGCTCCAAACCCAGAGTTCCCTTCTGTACTGCCCTAGCAGAGGTTCTCCATGAGGGCCCCGATCCTGCAGCAAACTTTTGCCTGGGCATCCAGGCATTTCCAAACATCTTCTGAAATCTAGATGAAGGTTCCCAAACCTCAATTCTTGATTTCTGTGTACCCGCAGGCTCAACAATACGTGGAAGCTGCCAAGGGTTGGGGCTTGCACCCTCTGAAACCGTGGGCCGAGCTGTACCTTGGCCCCTTTTAGCAATGGCTGGAGTGGCTGGGTCACAGGGCACTAAGTCCCTAGGCTGCACACAGCATGAGGACCCTGGGGTTGGCCCACAAAACCATTTTTTCCTCCTATGCTTCTGGATTTGTGATGGGAGGGGCTACCATGAAGACCTCTGGCATTCCCTGCAGACATTTTCCCCATTGTCAGGGATTAACTTTGGCTCCTTGTTACTTATGCAAATTTTTGCAGCCAGCTTGAATTTCTTCTTAAAAAATGGGTTTTCTTTTCTACTGCATCATCAGGCTACAAATTCTCTGAAATTTTATGCTCTGTTTCCCTTTTAAAATGAAATGCTTTTAACAGCATCCAAGTCACCTTTTGAATGCTTTGCTGCTTAGAAATTTCTTCTGCCAGATACCCTAAATGATCTCTCTCAAGTTCAAAGCTCCACAAATTTCTAGGGCAAGGGCAAAATGCCACCAGTCTCTTTGCTAAAACATAACAAGGGTCATCTTTGCTCCAGTTCCCAGCAGGTTCCTCATCTCTATCTGAGACCATCTCAGCCTGGACCCACTGTTCATATCACAATCAGCATTTTTGTCAAAGCCATTCAACAAGTCTCTAGGAGGTTCCAAACTTTCCCACATTTTCCTGTCTTCTTCTGAGCCCTCCAAACTGTTCCAACCTCTGTCTGATACCCAGTTCCAAAGTTGCTTCTACATTTTTGGGTATCTTTTCGGCAATGCCCCACTCTACTTGTACCAATTTACTGTATTAGTCCATTATCATAGTGCTGATGAAGATATACCCGAAACTGGGAAGAAAAAGAGATTTCATTGCACTTACAGTTCCACACAGCTGAAGAGGCCTCAGAATGACGGCAGGAGGTGAAAGGCACTTCTTACATGGTGGCGGCAAGAGAAAAAAAATGAGAAATATACAAAAGTGGAAACCCCTGATAAAACCATCCGATCTTGTGAAACTTATTGACTATCATGAGAACACTATGGGGAAACTGCCCACATGATTCAAATTATCTCCCACCAGGTCCTTCCCACAATACGTGGGAATTATAAGAGAACAATTCAAGATGAGATTTGGGTGGAGACACAAACTATATCACATTATTTTTATGTAAATATCGTGTGTAGTACTTAGCTAAGTCTGACATTGGAAGAAAGAGAAAATAAGTGATAATTTATAACTTTATTGTATACTTTAAATCATTACAGCCTATATCATATTTTTAAAAAACAAAGTGTTAAATATTCCTATCG
This sequence comes from Homo sapiens, assembly GCF_000001405.40. Classification (NCBI taxonomy): domain Eukaryota; kingdom Metazoa; phylum Chordata; class Mammalia; order Primates; family Hominidae; genus Homo; species Homo sapiens. The sequence continues at coordinate 84,308,431 of NC_000013.11, read as the reverse complement.
TTTACTATGCAAATAGTCCCCTAAGGAAACAATACTAGGCAACAAACCATGTAACTACAGTTTCCCTACATCAATTGGACAAGCATTAAGGATTGCTTAATCACTTCAAAGATTTCTCTCAGAGAAACAGCTAAAATAATGTGCCCTAAAATGCGTTTCTGGTATTCTAGGATAATAAACTTCATAATGACCACGTTAACACAAATATTTAATCTGCTATATGATTACTATTATTAGAATTTTAGTTGTTTAACCTAGAACAGTCAGTAGAGTCAACTATAAGATGAGAAGAGTGAGATGCAGAAAATGAAAATTAAAATCAAAAGCTAAATAAATCTTAAGGCAGGTATTAGAGAAGAGGTTTTCAATTGGATTTTTTTTTTTTTTTTTTTTTTTTGAGACAGAGTCTCGCTCTGTCTCCCAGGCTGGAGTGCAGTGGCGCAATCTCGGCTCACTACAAGCTCCACCTCCCGGGTTCAGGCCATTCTCCTGCCTCAGCTTCCAGAGTAGCTAGGACTACAGGTGCCCACCACCATGCCCGGCTAAATTTTTTGCATTTTTAGTAGAGACAGGGTTTCACTGTGTTAGCCAGGATGGTCTTGATCTCGTGACCTCGTGATCCACCCATCTTGGCCTCCCAAAGTGCTTGGGATTACAGGCGTGAGCCACCGTGCCCAGCCTCAATTGGATTTTTATAATAACCTATAATGTTTTTAAAACTACAGATTCCAGACTCCAACTTCTGTAGATTCTATTTCAAGAATCTCTCCGTCCAGTCCTACCAGTTCCTTAGGATTTGGACAACAGGCTAGTGTTTTGAGCACTATGCCATTTAGGGACTCAACATTTCAAAAGTTTTTATCCAGAGGTATATGGTAATATGCTAAAAGTTGGGTGCAGAGTGAGAGCAAATGAATGGTAAGCTTCTTGTCCTCGAAGAACTCAGTCCACTGAAGGAAACAGACAAGTAGATAAATGTTTGCAATTTAATACAATAAGTGCTGTGACAGTGTACCAGGGGAGTATCTAAATTAAATTGAGGAAGAGAAGAGTATTGAATGTTCCTGAAGGAGAAACACTGACCTGATTCTTGAAGGGAGCTGGAAAGAAACGGTAAGACATTTAATAAAGCAGGAGGGGAAAATGAGCCTAAAAAAATAAACAGGCCTCAGAAGCTTAAGGATTTTCCACACCGTTGTATGGAAAATGGCTTTTATCCTAAAAAAATGATAATAATAAAATAAAATAAAAAATAAGGATGGAGCAATGTAAACTTTCTGTGCAGAAAATTAATAAGATCATTTTGTGATTTGGAAATATTAATCTGTGTATAGCATGGAGATCCCATCAGAAAAGTGCAAGAGTTTAATCATAGGAAGCTTTTATTTAGCATAAAATGAACTACATTTCAAGACTTTCTTTATTGCCTCATTACTGAAGGTTGATTATGGTATTAGTCACTCCTAGTTTCTAGGTTTTTGACAAATGAAAAACAAATGCACGCTCCAACTACGGATCAACCTATATCATCTGCTTGATTTTAATTAATAAATAATAATTGAAATCTTAGCAGAATCTCTCATCTCTTTTTTTTTCCCTAAGCCTGAACTTTGGTGACTTTTCAGTCCTGACTTATTGTATCTAATTTCAAGCTGAGAAATTGGAACTTGGGGAGCAGAGACACAGCTGGAGCTTCTGTTGCACCGCTTACATGCAGATATACCGCATATCTCAGCACAAGAGTCCAAAAGGCAATGTTTGCAAGCTAGTTTTCAAGACTGACCTTTTTCATGCACAAATCCTCTCTCCTGATTGACATTGCTTCCAAACTTTAGGTATTCCTTCTCACAAAACAAATGAGATACTCTTTCTCACAGAAGAAAAGAGAAGCTTAAACGTTCCCTCAAATGTTTTCCCTCTCGAAAATTAGGACAAAATTTTTTTCAAGGTACCGTAAGACCCTGAGAATCAGGCTTTTCTCCAGAAATATCCCAATTGTTATTCTCCTGTGATTTTCACCCTAACAACAAGCTTGTAGTCAACCAATGGTGTGGTGGTTCCTTTGGGGCAAGAAAGCAGCAGAATATGAGGCCAGCCCTGCCCCATGAGATTTTTCTATAGAAACCAGTTCTGCTTTATTGTGTATCTCTTGAGACCAGCTAAATTAGAATGTGTGTAGTTACTATAACATTTCCAAAATTTGGATTAATATAACTAGAAATCTCTCAGGATAACCTCGCCTACAAATAGTACAAAGAGCCATTAGGTACTGTGTAATTATCACATCAGTATCCATAAGCTTGAAAACACCAAAAACACAAGACAATCCCTATGCATTGCAACAGTTATTTACACAAAAAATTATTCTCAATGCCATATCCAGTACATGTAAGACTGGTAAGGGTTTGAGGCTTTATCTTACTTATAGCCTAGCAAATTAGCCTGCCACAGTTTTATGGATTTGGGCAGAAGACATAAGATTCCTAGGTCAAAAGAGTATATTTAGAGCAATAGCAATGGCTAGAGTATCAGCATTTTTTATACCGGTTCCCCAAGCCCCAATTCTCACAGGGTGACAGAAAGAAAGCCAGTTGATACTAGCACAAACAGTGGATTGGGTTATATAAGAGGAACCTTGAACTTAGGGAACCTATAGTTTTTACAGTGAAGATTAAGCATGCTTGCCATTTGCATCTGAGAGGGCACTATGTTTTTCAAGGATTTAAGCAAACATGCCTTTTGCTTTGAAGGGAGACTTTATCTTTCAATGCTGTTTGCCATAAGACATCCCTCATAAAGTTAGTTTGGAATAAAGCACAGTCAGTTTTTCTGTCACAATATGTGTGGAAAGGTCAGAGATCCATGGAGAATTGTCTCCCAAAAGCATAAAGAACATAGATGAAAGATCGATAGATAGATAGAAGATAGACAGACAGACAGACAGATAACATACATACATACATACATACATATAATTTTTGGGCTGCAAAATATTATGTTCTTTCTTAAGAGGTAGCATGGAATTAATATTTTCTTAAACAAATTTACAATGTGCATCCCCAGTCTTCAACACTCTCTGAGATTTTCATCTTTCAGGTATAGCCAACAACATGTTAACGTCCTTATTTTCCATTGTTCCATTTACTTTTCTATTTCTGGTACTGTAATGATGAAATATATATGGAATTTTAGCCAGAAAGCCCTGTTAAATATTTTTCTTAGGTTTAAGAAAGCACAAACTTATCTTAATAAGTCATGAACAAGACGCCTAAGACAATTTTGGTAACATGTCCCAGTGGCCACTGTTTTGTTCAAGTATTCTGTGGGTTTGTAGATCATTGCCTTCTGGGGAAATTCCATAATTGTTCACTTTTAGCTTTCCTGAATAATCAGTCTGAGCAGATTCTAGGCTATTGTTGATAATTCTGAAATTTCCGTCCTCCATTCCCTCTAAGGATGGGTATGTATTCATGCTATGAATTTGCCAGCACCTTGCATTTAAAACCCAACAGGTTTTATGAATCTTGTGCCATTTTAGAAAAATGATATTTTTATTATGTTTTCTCACCTTTTTTTCTTATAACAATAGAATATGCATCAATTGTACAATGGCCTCCAGTAGGTCCCTTCTCCTTTCAAGGGTACCCTATTGCGATGTTACAATTATAATCTCATTTCTAAATTAACCCCTTCTCTACCACTTATAAGAACAAAGTTGGACAGGCTATTTATTTATCTTCATTTTGATTTGGACATGATTCCTGAACATATTTTACTAAATTCTATCTTTTTATATACTTAGTTAGAGATATAAAGTTACTGTTTTATTTTTAGTGATCCAAAGCATAATATTAAAATCAAAACTATACACCTTCAGAATTATCTAAACAACTTTTAAAATAGTGTATATCTAGTGTATATCTTTTCTTCCAATATTAAATAATGCATAACATTTGTTGAGCATTTATTATGCATCAATCTTCAAAACATGTTTCATAAGTTAACTCTCCCAATAATTTTAAGAGGTTCAACTTTTTCGAAGACTCTTTTTAAATCAACAATTGTGACTATAATTTTTCTAATTGAGCTTGGTAGCACAATGGGACAAACTAAAAAGTATCACTTCTTAAAACATTTGGCAAATACAGAATGGATTGTAACAGGCATACAATGTCTGTGAGATATAATCACATGACAATTAGAAAGGAAGTTACACAAGCGAAAAATAAGAGAAAAGGAAAAACAAATCTAGGGAATAACCTTTCACTTGTATGTTGTCGAAACAAAATTAATTACATGAATTTAATAATACAGATATTTGGTATCTTTCATTAAATATGTTAGCTAACTAAAGGTTAACCTGCTCCACAAAGAAATACAACAATATCTTCACCTAAAGAAACAAAAATACTTAGTTTATATATTTGTTATTTGATTAATGTACTGTTTTTCTTATTAGCAGTATTCCTTAAAAAATTCTAAATGTAAGTTATTGTGCACATTGGAAAAATCAGCCCGTCTAAGTAAGGGGAAAAAAATAAGAGCTGTGCGCCCTAGAAAACTGGCTGTATCTGCTGCCCTATAAGACATCTGTAACATGTATAGCATCCTTGTCAGTGCAAAAGGTCAGGACCACAATGAAAATGCTGTATATTGCCATGTATAATTGCATTTATTTATTTCTCTCATTAAAATAGCTAAAATTGTTCAAAATATAACATTGAATTTATTTTTCTAGTCATAAATATAATAGTTAATAATTTCCAGATACTCATTATTGGTCATATGCATGGTTAGGTTATTTTTACTTCTCACAATAACGTACTGGGTTGCACTATTAAAGAGAAAAGAAAATAAGCACAGAGAGATTGTGTAAATTTTCAAAATCACAGAGTCCATGTCAGAGAAAAGTCAGAATTTGGGGCTGAGCATTCAAACTGAAACCTGAAAACCTTCAAGGAGAGTTGATAAAAATTGCCAAGGCAGTATTACTAACACTAACACTCTATTGTCTCCCATCATATGGAATCTAACTCCAGTTTTTATTTTTCATGTCTGACTATGGACCGCTCTTAAAACTCACACCTTCCTTTTCCCCTTCTGCCCCACATCTGATCAAGCTTATAAGAAACCCCAAGTTCTTACTCTTTTGGCACCTGCAGGAAATTCCAATCATGTAATCCTCTGCCTAACCACAACAAAAAGCCTCCAAACCAGTCTCCTTTCCCTGATGTCTCAAGCCATTTTTGGACTGCTTGGGATATATACCCTGTCCTCACCAGAAAAGCCTCACTATGAAAATATTAAAATTCTTCATACCTGCTTGGTGTGTGTGGTGTCATCTGTGTCTATGTTGAACTCATTTTGCATAGGTGTTCATCTTGTCTCTTTAGGGTGGCCACATACCACCCAGTATATCTGGCATAACATTGTAAAATTTGCTAATGAAACCACAGTATTTTGTAGTCTTCAAATGCAGTATTTTCTTGAAAGGAAGTTTTTGATAAGAAAATCAATACAATCATATTTCTTGGGTAATTCAAGTTATTGCAGCACCTTAGAAGAAACTTTCCATTAATTATTATGATTACTGTGTGTTTGTGTATGTATATACACATACACATGTATACAAATATAGCATAAAATGTTGGATTATAAATAAAATGACTCAAAACTGTACAATGAAAGGTAAATTTTCTACTACATATTTGACTTATCTATTTTGTTTTATAAACTTTTCTTTACACTAAATTCTAATCACCTGTATTAGTCTGTTCTCATGCTGCTATAAAGAAATACCCAAGACTGGGTAATTTATAAAGGAAAGAGATTTAATTGGCTCAGTTCGGCATGGCTGGGGAGGCCTCAGCAAACTTACAATCATGGTGAAAGGGGAAGCAAACACGTCCTTCTTCACATGGTGGCAGGAGGGCAAGAGAGAAGTGCAGAGTGAAGGGCAAAAGTGCCCTATAAAACCATCAGGTCTCGTGAGAACTCACTATCATCAGAATAGCATAGGGGAATGTCCCTCATGATCTAATCACCTCCCACAAGCTCCCTTCCCCAACATGTGAGAATTACAATTCAGATTATAGTTCAAGATGAGATTTCGGTGGGGACACAGAGCCAGATAATATCATCACCTAAATATTTGTATGCTATGTTATTTTTGTTTGGTTCATCTTCAACACTTATTTATTGTGCTGTTAAGTTGGTAGTACTCTTCTAAGAGCCAAGAATAACACAAAAGATAAATATCACAGTTTCTGTTTTATAAGAATCTACTTTATTTTTCAGAATATTAAATATACAGGCTTTGGGAGTTTTCACTTGTATAGCACTTATATTCCTTAATTCACTTAACCTCCCTATACCTACTTACTTCCACATTATATGAATGTACTGATTATTGACTTGATACTTTCTAGAGTCATGAAAATTTATGGCATAATGCCTGTTAATTTTTTTCAAAATGAAAATCTTATGCCAATATACAAAATTATCATTATTTTTAAAACAATAATGAAAGAAATTTGTGAATTTAGATGTTAAACATAAACCAGTAGCAGAGAAAATTATTTCATTTTGTTCTAGTCATAACCTAGCAATATAAAAAGACTCTTAACAAAATAGATTTCCAGGAAGTCATGTATGTTTTTTTTTCAACAGATCATTTTTTATTTTGATCTACTATGGTCAGTGATATTTTTGTAGTTTTTGTAACTCTAGTCTTGAGCAAGTTTACTATAGATGGATACCATGCTTCATGCAAACTATCCAGTTGTAGGGCAATGTAATAATACACTTAGGCATAACATTATATTGCATTACAATATTATATTGCATGCACACGTATACTTAGTAAACTCTTTAACGTGTGTAAATCTTATCATTAAACAAGACTTTCACATATTTTGCTTCACTTGGAGTTTGCCCTTATAACTTTTTAACAAAATGAATAACATGAATTTTATTATCTCTTTTCGAAAAATAATGATAAAAATTAATTGGGCATGGAATTCTTTCCATTTGCTTTCAAAGTTCATACTTTTTCCATTTTAGCAAAAAAAGTGTCTATATATTTTTTTTTGGTGTTGCTTCCAGTTCAGCAGATCATTTTCTCAGTTGTTTTAATGCAATATATCCTTTACAATAATCTATTATATTTGAAAAGTTTAAGGAAAGCCCTTATCATTCACTGCCAAAATGATTTATGTTAATGAGATTATTTTAGGACTAACATCCTGTTAAATTTTGACACCATATCCTTTATCTGGTGGGAACTAGAAATTCAAGAGAGCCATGATCAATATTTCAGACAACGTTAGTTGGCACAAGATGCTATCCCCATGTGTAACGACATATTCATACGCTATATAATTATTTTTAGTGGGATTTTTTTCTTAGAATGTCTTTGATGCAGATTAGTTTTTATGGAAAGGGAACACACTAACAATGCAAATGTCAAAATACATCTCATATGGTGTTGACCTGACTGATGCCATTTGTCTTTACTCTTAGCACATCTACAGAATCTAGAGTAGTAGCAACCATGAAAACTGGACTGTCAACAAAGAAGACAGAAGTTTGATATCCACAAGAACTAAGAAGAAATCACTAAGGAATATATAATCTAATTTGTATTTGAACAAACAAACGCTGAAAATTCACTGACTTAAAGTGTTAAATTATTTCCAAAATGTATGTAAAATAGTTTCTATATATATAAAATAAATGCATGTAAAACATTTTATTTACTTTATCAGTTAAAGAAGGAGCCAATAAGTTTTTAGTGCCTTTTCGAATATTTCAGAATCTATGTATCTAACAGGTAATTTGATAAAAGAATGATCATATAAGAATTCTAAGATAGATACAAACTGGTCAATGTCCAATATGGCAATAAATCACAAACTTTGGGTTATGTTTTGCACTTAGAAGTGATTTGGACCTCCACTAACAAAAAACCCACAAATTAAACTCTATCCATACAGAATTATAATACAGCCTAGTCAATGGAAAAGTCCATCAAAGATGCAAGGTTAGCACTGCTCTGAAATAACACCCACAGATCTCTTGTGCCTATCTCCAAGCTATGGATACTTTTACTTTGATATAGAAATAGAAGCAATGCCAGTTTTTAGGCAGACTGAGGTTTACAAAAAATCTTCAGCATGAGGCCAAAAACATTCTTAGGCTATCTGCTGTAAAAATCTCTCCCTGATTTTACTGACACAATGGGAATATGACTTCTAAGTACAGCTATTTACCCCAAGTAAGTACATCCTTTAGGTTGAGTTATAAATGTGATACTTTGGATAATAATCATCAGAGAATGATCAAAGTATAGGTACTATGTTTGATGGAGTCTATATTAATTTAGCTACAATTATATTGAATTGATTTTTTATTTGAAAGAAAAAAAAAATCGGCCAGGTGTGGTGGCTCACGCCTATAATCCCAGCACTTTGGGAGGCCGAGGCAGGTGAATAATTTGAAGTCAGGAGTTTTAGATCAGCCTGGCCAACAAAGTGAAATGTCGTCTTTACTAAAAAATACAAAAACTAGCCTGGCATTGTAGCAGGAGCCTGTAATCCCAGCTACTCATGAGGCTGAGGCAGGAGAATGCTTGGACCGGGAGGCGGAGGTTGAGTGAGCAGAGATGGATCGCGCCACTGCACTCCAGCCTGGTGACACAGCGAGACTCCCCGTCTCAAAAAATAAAATAAAATAAAATATACAGGAAAAAAGTCATTTAACAGAGCATCATATTAAGTGAATGTGTAGTAGATAACTGGCTTTCCAACTTTCTTTACATTCCTGAAGAATAAGTATATCTTACATAACTTGCGTGATATATATTTGCCCTTACTATATGCAACATGCTGAATTTCAAATATATTCCTTTCTTATGTTTAGTTAGGCAGTTGGGCATGAATCTCTGTTTTTCTTTTTATGATAAACAAGTGTAGTCACAGTTTAAAAAACATTGCAGTGGCTCACGCCTGTAATCTCAGCACTTTGGGAGGCCGAGGCGGGCGGATCACGAGGTCAGGAGACCGAGACCATCCTGGCTAACACAGTGAAACCCCGTCTCTACTAACCGCATATTCTCACTCATAGGTGGGAATTGAACAATGAGATCACATGGACACAGGAAGGGGAATATCACACTCTGGGGACTGTGGTGGGGTGGGGGGAGGGGGGAGGGATAGCATTGGGAGATATACCTAATGCTAGATGACGAGTTAGTGGGTGCAGCGCACCAGCATGGCACATGTATACATATGTAACTAACCTGCACAATGTGCACATGTACCCTAAAACTTAAAGTATAATAAAAAAAAAAATTAAAAAAAAAAAGAAAAAGAAAAAAATGCAAAAAAAAAAAAAAAAAAATTAGCCGTGCTTGGTGGCGGGTGCCTGTAGTCCCAGCTACAGGAGGCTGAGGAAGGAGAATGGTGTGAACCCGGGAGGCGGAGCTTGCAGTCAGCCGAGATCGCGCCACTGCACTCCAGCCTGGGAGACAGAGCGAGACTCCGTCTCAAAAAAAAAAACAAAAGAAAACAAACAAAAAAACCCCACAACATTGCAATGTATCGTGAACACTAACGTATTCACAATATGGTAAGGTACAGAAACATGGACCTGTGAAGAACAGTTTTAAATATAAAAAATATTAGGGAAAAAAGCCTTGTATGTCTGCATCAGTGTTTATAATATTTTCTAAAATTCTGTTTATGCAGTCGTAAAAATATATTTTTTAGATTATTATTGTAAATAAAACTTAGTAATTACCAGGCCTCCATTATCTCACTGAACAGGTCCTTGATTCCAAAACAGATTAAGACTCAGCATAAATTGCTGGCCTTTCTGATAAAACAATTAGCTACTTCTACTCCAGGAATTAAGCATCAAAGGAGGGAGTATCTTGATAAAGATACATTTAGATACTTTAAAGAGAAAGGATTTTGAACAAAATAGGTCTACATGAGCTGAGAAACTGGAAGAAAAAATTCCAATAATCACGGAAGGTACTGAGGACAGATCAAGCACTCAATTTCCCACATTGCCCTTAAACTTACATACACACACAAATTTCTTTAAATACTAAAGATCAGGTGTGCAAAAAAAAAAAAAAGAGTTGATATGATGCTATGATACTGACATTAACCTTACAACTGTTACACAAACTTTTTCTCAGAGTCAACAAACTACTCAGGAACTAGTAATCTCTAATAATTCTCAGACATTCCCTATATCCTTTCTTTCATGCTCACACCTGAACCAGGGGGTTTTTCTTCCTCTGTTACATCACAACCATTAACTTAATAGGGAATAACTTACAGTATAAATAAAATTTTCCTTTTTAATGTCCTTTCTTGAATTTGAGAACTCTCCCATTCATAAATGGTCATATCTAATTTGGACATTTACTTAGAGGTACCTTTGTGTCTATATTAAACCCAAACTGAAGATCTGAAGAATATGCTAAGTAATGTGTAGGCAAAAATGTCATGCCATAGGTAGAATTATTGGTGCTGAACCCATGAAGGTTCAGATCGACCCAAAAAATCCTCTACTGAAACTTGTATTATACTCTTTAAAACTAGAAGCAAATAAATAAATAACTTTTAAATTTTTTTTAAAGGATGGTACTTTTTAAAATTATCAGCTATACCTTTTCAAATAAGAAGTTAAAACCAACAGTCAAAGACTGGTAGAAAAGGAATTCGCATTTTATCTCAATCTTCCTAATACTATCCTATCAATCCAAAATAAAAACAAAAAAACACCACTCAGACTTACTAGAAATCCCTTTGGAAAATTAAGTCAAAAATTTTCTGTGGCTGGGTCATACCTTAAGAATGAAAAAGGAGAATATTAAAGCTGTAACATAGAAAAATTACCTCATAGGAAAATTCTGCCAAGATGGCAGAAATAAATCAAGCTCTCTAGGGTTTGATAGTTAGCTGGAGATAAGAGGACTTATGTATACACTGATAATGGAAGATTCTTTTGTGGTGATACATAATTTCAGAAACTATTGGAAACAACAAAATTCCCTGACCTCAGCAGTGACCCAATGAAGAATGATTAGCATATTAAATGAACCTTGCATGCCCTAATACATTCTATGGTGATGGCTATTATAAATGTTGAAACTCATGAAGAAAAGGATAGATGTAGAGAAGCTAAAGGAAATTTTCTGTATGATTATTTCTCCAGACAGACTCTCATGATAAGATCCTAGTACTTATAACATATCAAGAAGACAAATCTTTGGAGAGGTTTAAAGAGAAAATTTTAAATCCCCATAATTATCTCCTATTAGAAAACATACTGGGAGAAATTACAATGTCAAGCAAGAGACTAATCTTTGGCACCCTTAAATTGGCTGCTGTGTTGCACTGGAGGATCTCAGGTGGAGCCTTGAAAACATTTTATACAAAATTGCCACCACTGCAAGGACAAATTGCCCAACAAATTTTGTTGATAAACATTTATGCTAAAACTTCTAAATCTGTTTCGGGTGTATCTGTTACCATGATAATCCTGATAAATTTTTAAGGTGTGACATACAGAAGCCTAAACCTCAGAACCATTTCAAATGTCTCCAAATAGATTTTTAATACGTTTCTCTTGAAATGAGTTATTATCAGAGTAGGCAGATACCTAGACATGAACAGGAAGGGGGAGCCCATGAGAAAGGAAGCTCTGGAAAATCTAACACCCCAGGGACCACTGGAAACATGCATGCCAGATATAAGCAGAGAGGAGGGGAAATACCTAAGCAGAAAGGAATGCCCCAGAGCACCTTGTAAGAAGCTCAATAATCACTTATTCTGCAGTCACACTATCAGAATGTTGTTAGCTACATGCTGATAAGGAGGGAGAGAGGCCAATGGGGAAATTCCTAACACATACGCAGGTGCAGTAAGTACAGATTTAACTGCTATATGATTTTCCTGAGTGGCAGCAATGAGCAATGTTGCCATTAGGTAGGATTCATATCCAAGAGCTGGCCCCCAGCATTCATCAACTAGCAGTAAGGGAGACTCCCATAAATCTGGGGCAGGAAGTAGGTGGGGACAATGCAGAGACTTAAGGTGCACAGGAAACTAGACAACGATTAATTAAATCATTGACAATTGGTGATAAACCCAGCCTTCAGTCCTTTTCCCCTCCCTACAGGTCATAGTTGGGGCTGAAAGTCCCAATCCTTTAATCAAATGTTTGGATCCCCTAACAGCTAGCCTCCACCCTGAAGCTATCCAAGATCCCAAAAAGTATGGCTTAATTATAACAAAAGACGCTCTTATTACCTGGGAAATTCCAAGAGATTTAGAAGCTTTGTGTCAGATGGCCCTATATTCAGGAAATTACAAAGGTCTTAAGAACTCTCAACAACTCGGGGCAGAGTCCAATATATGTATTTCTTATTATTTTACAAAATGCTTCAAATTTCCCATTATAATTTGATAACCATATACCTAGCAATACCATCTATTCTAAACTCCATATTTATACCAGCAGACATGGCCACATATTTTGAAAGACTAATGCAATGCACCCATTCTTATCAATAGGCATAGGCAGCCATTCCTCAACGTCCTCCTAAATCATCTATGCAAAACTTATTCCCTGAATATCTGGTCTTTTGGATGAGGCAGTAGAAAATCACATTTCTTAAACACTGATGGAAAGACTTCTATCAGATACTATTAGCTATCTGAGCAGTGAAACTCCAAAGAATTGACATTTATAATTCATATCTCAACAAAAACAACAAAACCATCCTCAAATCACTGGAAGATGGTCCCACCCAGAGACCTCAATTTGAGAAGTCAGGATCCTTCTGAAACCAGTTTCCATAAAAAGATAGCTTCTCCCATGACTTTTGAATCAAATACTTTGCTTTTTGAGATGTAGACAGTGGTTGCCCAAGGTACATGAAACAAGACAGACTACCACTCTTAGACTTTATTTTTGTTTTATTTTCCTAGCTATTTTCTTTCCTCTTTTGCTGGTTTAAGCCCACTCTTAAGTATGTTATCTAAAAAAATAAATAAATAAAAGGCCTCCATTCTTAATACTTTTTTGTATCTTTAGTTACTCTTTATTATGAGTTCAATACCAGGACACAATTTATTTGTGAACTAGCTAGAGAATACAATAAAATGGACTGATGTATTGGTTTTCCTTCAGGAGCCACCTAACTTACCTTGGTATAATTTACTTGTGATAAATTAGTTGGTTTCCTGGGTAACTAACTCAAACATTAGGTAACTTTTAAATAGCATACCCCCCAACAGGCCAAACAGCCAGAAATCTAAAATTCTCTATTGCTTCAAAATTAGAAAAAGAAGCTCTTGTCTCCTTCAAAACACTACTCTAGAACCTTTCATAGGAGCTAGATTTTTTTAGCTTGTTGGCAAATGAACTTTCATAGAAATAAAACTTGGAGGAGGATTAGAGAACAGATGGTGTATATTTGGAGACTTATCTCCCTTTTACTGATTCTATGAGCAAGAAGCACTACTTCTTTTTTGCTTTAAATCTATCTATTTATCTTGATACTAAAACTTTTTATTTCCTGCGGTCATAACATTCCAGATGAGCAGTGCCATATCATTACAACACTCAGCCTCGTATTCAGAAATGAAACTCTAACCCCTCCAAGGGAATTCTAGACTATTTTCCTCTCTCTTCAAGCCTCTTCACTCTGTGCTTTAAAGGAAGCCCAGAGGATGGGAATATTGTCCATGATATATGTTAGAAAAGAAAAAGTGTACGAAATAATGCACTTGCACATAAAAGTGAATTGGCAATGATTCAGTATGGAGCCTTTTTAGCTAGTATATTGGCATCTCAAGAAAGAACATAGCATGTTTTAGGCAGAGTTCTGTGCCCATATCCATGCATCTCTTTCTAGTATCTTTAATATGAAAGACCTGGGAAAGAAACAAAATGTCTGGGAAAAAAACAAACAAAATAATTAGGTAATCTGGATAATATAACTATATCTGACTCTGAGGTCACTTTGGATTGAGAATAGAATCTATGCATCTGATTTGATTGGGGGAATTCCTGGTTACTGGCTTAGAAGTAGACTATAAACTATGATAATTGTTCTGATTTTTCATGTGTTACACTATTTAGGTGTGTAATTTCCACTGTTGTAAATACTGCTGTGTAGCTGTTATACTATAAAATGTTGTAGCGAATGGTCATCAAACAAAAAGACAGAAAAAAATTGACCATTAGAGAGGGTGAAACAACCACCCCGCAAAACTTGATATGCCATTGAGACACCTCTAATATTGGGGAAAAGCAGGGTTGATTATGACCAAAGATAGCTTATCCTTCAGGTCAGGCTTTAAGATACCTACTATGGGTAAGGTGGACATTGAGAACTGGAACTATCTTCAACCACTTAGTTAACTGCCTGCTCTATTGTGATAATATTTGGTTGTCATAGCTAATACAATTCTACAGTCTACTATAGGCTTGAATATAACTTTATTAATGAGTAGAAGACAAAAGTTGCAAACTTATTTTTTCTTTTAGGACCTTTGTGGAAAAAACTTATTAAGTTAGCATGAAACTTTCCATCTTTACAATATATAGCATCACAGAATTTTTTATTCCATAAGCTGTTGCAAAATGCTCACTCAAAATCTTCACCATGCTGAGTCCATCAAATCTAAATTATTGTTTCATAATTTATACTCATTTTTCAATTAAAATCTCTTCATCAGCTCTTTGAATACACAGAATTCTTTGGCACAGTATTCAGGGTATATCATGGTCAGCTCCATGCTTATCTCTGCAGCCTCATTTCTCATGTCCCTAGCACCCTCACATTACAAATTATACTCATACAAAAGCAATACTGGTCTTTCAATTTCATTTCTAATCATTTGCTACCTCTTTTAAAGAAATGTATAGATTATTATCCATGTAGAACATTGATATTACCTCTTTTATTATGCTCTCTCTGATTCTCAAGATTGTTATCATACACATACATCTAATATATATTTATTATATAATAAACATATATGTATATATAAGTATGTGTATGATAACATTATATGTATACATTAGATGCATGCATATTATAAACATATGTATATATTCAGTGTATGTCTATGATAACATATATATTAGATGTATATATATATAATTGCATTTTATGGTTGTATTCATATGTCTGTGTTTCCTATGATTTTTATATTTATGGGTTACTTATAAATATTCTACTAAAAATTTGGCAGCACATTTGGCAAAATTAAGACTAAAAAAGATATTACCCACAAGTCAGTAAAAATATAACAACATTTCTACAATGCAACATTTGAGAGTGTCTATAAAATAATGCAGTTACTGCACTATTTAATGTTAGCTATTCAACACCATGTTTCTTTTTTTTTCTTTTTATTACACTTTAAGTTCTGGGATACATGTGCAGAACATGCAGGTTTGTTACAGTGGTATACATGTGCCATGAACACCATCTTTCTTTTAGAAAGAGATGTTTACTTCCCTGAATAACCTCTCTCATGTTCTCATGGGGCCAAGTGCTTGAATGTCCCAGAAAACACTTTCTGGGACATTCACTTAATTTTATGCTTCATCTCTTACCTCTGACTCAAAGCAAGTTATACCTTGCTCAGCAAATAGTGTAGCATTCAGCCTGACAGATGTGGTCATAAAACAGGTGTATAGAGTTTAAAATCAAAATACATGTTACACATCCTTCAAAATTTGGCACTTGACTGAAAAGAGTTCAAGAAACACCATTATACTGGGTCATGCTTTGCCATACTGTTTGAAAACCACTGTTTAAGACAGAGGACTTCTTGAATGTTGTTAAATGACTTTTTGCTTTTGTATTCTTAAGGATTAGTACAGTTCTTGGAATACCAGCAAAATTAATTGAATAAAATTCAATATATCTCACCTGTCTCTCCTTGTCTAGCCTCATATGCCATAAAAAATTACTTTATTCTCAACAACGATGTTTTTTGAATAGATAGCTTGTGAACATTTGGCTACAATGGGTAAACAGGGGCTTCTGAAGAGCTCCCTTGGATGCCTCAGATGTATGATCAGCGGTTTCAATTCACTGAGATTCAACTGGGCATAGAAAAAGAAGCACGGGGAAATGCAACTAATTTTTTTTCAGCAAATGATTAAAAAATATCAATGTCTTGGTATGACCTAAGTTAGCTCTTAGATTTAAAGAGATTAAAACTCTCAATATAAACTCTGATGTTTAGGATAATCTCATCCATTTACACTAAGGCCTAATTACAGAAATCTGAATATGCTCTCTTCCTCATCATTCAACTTCACAACGAATCGATATTATCTGTCTAGTATATGCGAGTCTTTGTATTAAAAATGTAGCTGGTATAGCTGAGGAACTGAATATTTAAGTTTATTTAATTTTAAGTAACTTAAATTTATGGTCTCATGAGGTTTGTGACGGTATTAGACAGTGAAAATCTAGATAAAAGATGCTTCCATTTACCTGTGTTCCTTCCAATTCGGAATTGCTATCATTCGTAGTCAATAATAATCTATATTCGAACTCATGCTATCAAATTAAGTAATTATGACTTTTAGTAATTTATCTACATAAATTTCAATTATTAGATTAAGTCTAAAATAAACATAAAAATGAGCATATTAACATGCTATTACATAGACTTATCTTTATTTTTTATTTTTTAAAATAACTTCAACTTTTATTTTAGATTCAGTGAGTACATGTGCAGGTTTGTTACATGGGTATAGTATGTGATGCTGAGGTTTGGGGTACAGATGATACCCTTTCCATTCCTCCCCTTTCTAGTAGTCCCTGGTGTCTTTTTTTCCCATCTTTATATCCATGAGTACTCAAAGCAGCTCTCACTTGTGAAAATATGCAGTGTATGGTTTTTGGTTACTGCATTAATTCCCTCAAGAAAATGGCCCCCAGATGCCTCCATGTTAATGCAAAAGATATAATTTCATTCCTTTTTATGGCTGTGTAGTATATCATGGGGTATATGCACCACATTTTCTTTATCCAATCCACCACCGATAGGCACCTAGGTTGATTCCATGTCTTTGCTATGGTGTGTGGTGCTACAATGAACATATGAGTGCATGTGTGTTTTTTGATAGAACGATTTATATTCCTATGGTTATATGCCCAGGAATAGAATTACTGGGTCAAATGGTCCTTCCATCTTTACTTATTTGAGAACTCTCCATACTGTTTTCCACAACAGCTGAACTATGTTGTCTTCTAACCAACAATGCCTAAGTGTTCCCTTTTCTCCATAGCCTCATCACCATGTTATTTTTTGACTTTTTATAATAGCCATTCTGACTTGTGTGAGATGGTATCTCACTGTGGTTTTTAATTTGCTTTTTTCTGATGATTAGTGATGATAAGCATTTTTCATATATATATATTTTTGCTGCTTGTATGTTTTCTTTTGAGAAGTGTCTTTGTGTGTCTATTGCACACTTTTTAATGGGGTTACCTGTTTTTTTGGTGTTGATTTGTTTAAGTTTCTTTTAGATTCTGGATATTAGACCTTTGTCAGATACACAGTTTGCAAATATTTTCTCCTGTTCTGTAGCATGTTTATTCTATTGCTGGTTTCTTTTGCTGAGCAGAGGATCTTTAGTTTAATTAGGTTCCATTTGTCAATTTTTGGCTTGTTGCCATTGTTTTTGAGGACTGAATCATAAATTCCCGAGGTGGACGTTTCTAATGGTGTTTTCTACATTTTCTTCCAGGATTCTTATAGTTTTAGGTCTAACATTCAAATCTTTAATCCATCTTGAGTTAATTTTTGTATTTGGTGAAAGGTAGTTGGCTCGTTTCATTCTTCTGCGTATAGCTAGCCAGCAATCCCAGCTGTCTGGGAATTCTCTCCCCATTGCTTATTTTTGCCAACTTTGTGAAAGATGACTGTAGGTATACAGGTTTATTTTGGGGTTTTCTATTCTGTTCCATTGGTCTATGTGTCTTATTTTGTACCAGACCATGCTGTTTTAGTTAGTGTAGCCCTGCAGTATGGCCATTTTAACAATGGCCCACTCTTGATTCTTCCAATCCATGAGCACGGAATGTTTTTCCATTTGTTTGTGTCGTCTATGATTTCTTTGAGCAGTGCTTTGTAGTTCTCCTTGTAGAAAGGTTTCACCATTTTGTTCAGATGTATTCCTAGGTGTTTCTTTGTGGTTATTGTGAATGGAATTGCATTCTTAATTTGGCTCTCAGTTTAAACGTTCTTGTGTATAAATTCTCTTGCTTTTTGTACATTTATTGTGTATCCCGATACTTTACTGAAGTTGTTTATCAGTTCCAGGAGGCTTCTGGAAAGGTCTTTAGGGTTTACTACTTATAGAATCATATTTTTGGAGAAGAGAGATAGTTTGACTTCTTATTTTTCTTGTTTGAATATCTTTTCTTTCTTTCTTTTGACTGATGGTTCTGGTTAGGACTTTCAGTCCTGTATTAAATAGGAGTGATGAGAGTGGGCATTGCCATCTTGTTTCAGTTCTCAAGGGAAATTCTTCCTGCTGTTGACCATTCAGTATGATACTGGCTGTGGATTTGTCATACAGGGCTCTTATTATTTTGAAGAATGTTCCTTTGATGCCTAGTTTTTTAATGGTTCTTATCATAAAAAGATGCTGGATTTTATTAAAGACCTTTCCCATGTTTCATGAGATGATCCTACAGTTTTTGCTTTTAATTCTGTTTTTATAGTGAATTGCATATATTTATTTGCATATGTTGAACCAGCTTTGTATCTCAGGCCTACTTAATTGTAGGTGAATTAATTTTTGAGGTGCCACTGGATTTGGTTTGCTACTGTTTTGTTGAGGATTTTTGTGTCTACGTTTATTCAGGGATATTTGCCTGTAGTTTTCTTTTTTATTGTGTCTTTACCAGCTTTTGATATCAGGGTGATGCTGGCTTCATAGAATGAATTAGGGAGGAGCCGCTTCTCGATTTTCTGGAATAGTTTTAGTAGAATTGATACTATCTCTTATTTTCACTGTGGTAGAATTAGGCTATAAGTCTCTCTGATGTGGGACTTTGGTTGATAAGTTTGTAATGACTGGCTCAATTTTGGAACTTGATAATGGTCTGTTAAGGGTTTCAGTTTATTCCTAATTCAATCTTGGAAGGTTGTCTGTTTCCAGGAATATATCCATTTCCTCTAAGTTTAGTTTGTGCATGTAGAAATGTTCATATCTTTGAGAATATTTTGTATTTCTGTTGGATTGGTTCTAATGTCATCTTTGTCATTTCTGATTGGGCTTATTTCACTCTTTTTTTTACTTTGTTAATCTCACTAGCAGTCTATTGATCTTCTTTATTTTTTCCAGTAACCAACTTTTTGTTTCATTGATTCTTTGTATAAAATTTTGGGTCTCAATTTCATTCAGCTCCACTGCGATTTTGCTATTTCTTTTCTTCTGCTTGCTTTGGGGTTAGTTTATTTTTGTTTTTCTAGTTCTTCCAGATGTAATGTTAGTCATTATTTTGAGTTATTTCTAACATTTTGTGGTAGGCACTTAGTGCTATAACCTTTCCTTTTAACCCTGATTTTGTTGCATCCCAGAGACTTTGGTATGTTGTGTCTGTTTTCAAATACTTCTAAGACTTTTTGATTACTGCCTTAATTTTACTGTTTACTCAAAAGTCATTCAGTAGGAAATTGTTTATTTTTCATTTATGTGGTTTTGGAAGATCTTCTTAGTATTTTTTTTTCTATTTTTCAAAAGGAGATTTCTTAGACAACAAAATCAGTTGATTAGGTTGATCAGGTAATACCATGCAGGAGTTTTGTTTTTCTTCCTTTTTTTTCCACTTACTTATTTTCACTTCATCTCTAGACTCTAAAATAAGAGTATTGTTCACTATTAAAAATAATTATAATAGGAATATGGAATATGGTATTCCATATAATGATATAGTGGAAATGGCCCTATTATCAGGAACTAAGGAATGTACATAAAACTTAATTTGGTTTTGGTCATTCACAAAGAATAAACGGATTTCTTAAAAACTAATGGAATTAACTCCATCCTGCTGTAGAAGCCTGTTACAAATGTTTTCATTACCAGAAACTCAATTAGCCCAGGTAGTTTGCAATCATTCAGACTGTAGTCTACATAAAAAGTGTGGTTATCTGACCCAATTCACCAAATATTTCTATTATTCAAGCAAGTCCTCTCTTCTTACAAAAAAACAGAGTGACACATTGTTCAACCTCAGCTGGGAAGGTACAGGGTGATTCGATCTTTTCATTGTGCTGTACGTGTCCATAACCATGAAAACACCTTAAGTATTATTAATTTTGTGGTTATAAATTAAGTTCAGTGAGCAAATAGAAAAATACAGAATCCACAAATAATGAAGATAGAATATATATGTATGTATAAAATGAATGCATGTGTGTACACACACATGATTCTGACATATATATCATATATATGTGTGTGAGATATATATATATATCTTACACACATATATATATATCTCACATATATGATTCTGAAATTGACCCTTAGATTATATTACAGTGAGCAATGTGCATGTGATACACACACAGTGGTGTGTGATATGTATACACATACACACAAGCACACACAAGCACACAAGCACACACACAGAGGTTTATTTTTTTAAAATGCTGCTGTTTACAGACTGAATTTCTTTTTTTTTTCAAAGGTCTATAGACTGAATTTCTTTTTTTTTCAAAGGAAGCCTCAGCTCTGCTCTTAAGGCCTTTCAACTGATTAAACCAGGCATACCCACATTGTATAGTAGAGTCAGTCTCCCTATTTAAAAGTCAAATGATTAGGGAATTTCATCACATCTACAAAAAACCTTTGGGCTTTTGACTCGTAAGTTTAAAAAATGGAACATACATGCCTTTTTTAAAGAAACAGAAAAAGCAATGGAATAAAAATAAACCCTAAACTCATTAAATTTGAGAATCATGACAGTTTTTGTACTGATAGATCGTCAGAGTCAGGCACATGGTATGTACTCAATTAATATTTATTTGAATAAATAGATGAGTGGATATGCATGTGTGTATATACAATGAATAATAATTTATGAAGATTTCATATAACAAAAGGCTGTGTTAAATATATTACTTCATTACTGTAATATATATGTAGCCCTTTCTCATTTAAATTAATGTAAGTAAAAATATATTGCATATTGAAAATTTGTTTAGAATATAATGGAAATTTTAGTATTTAATATACAATAGTTGGCTTAGTTTTCTCTGTGTATATGGTTAAGGATTGTTTATTAGACAACATAGGCTCTTTATGGTTTGTGTTTTTTCTAAATTACAATACGTTTAAATTTACATGCACTCTAACCATTTATTTGTTTTTTATGAATTGAAAATGAAATACTCTTCCTTATGCCCATAACTTTTAATCATGGAGTTATTACAGCACTAGGGACATAACTAATTTATTCTTTATGTATTAAAAAGTTCAATATTTAAATTAGTTTAATCAAGTCACCTAGCTTACCTTCAAGATACCTTTTCACCTTAGTGAACTTAGAGTAGGCCAAGCAGAAGCATTTCAGTTGGAAATCAGTTATTGTCATTTCTATTTCCACATGAGATCAAACAGTGGAGAGGTAAACAATGTGCTTTTCTTAAGTGTATTTAAAGATGTATCAACATATGAGAATTCATCTGGCTACCAAATTTACCTTCCACAAAGATCTTATACATATGTGTGTTTAATCATTTGGTTCTTAATATGTTTAATCAACCATATGATTTAATCTTCAATAAAATGTGACAAAATAATTGTTACATCATGTAATAGTTCTAAATAAATAATTTATTTGAATGTAACATCTTAGAACATATCTGAGAAGTTCAAACCAAACAGATTATGTGGTAAAAACAAATATTATGGTTTAGCCCAATTTTAACAATAACAATATATTTACATCAGTTATTTTCTTCTTTTCATTGGAACATTTACATAATTTACATTGTGGAAATATAAACATTTGAAAAATTAAAAATAACAAGAACATATTTTTATTTGGAAATCTTTAATAGTAGCTTTGTGATTTAGAATAATTTAACCTTTGATAATTCAGATTAGTCTGTTTTTTACCACAATTAATATGGTCCTTGAAAAGTTCTATTAAAAATTTAATTATGATTCACTGAGATAAAAAATGGAAAATTTTAGAAAAATGCCTGGTTATCAAAACATGATCTCTGTTGTCTGATTTATAATTAATATTGAAAAGAAATAAAAGAATCATTTCTTTCTACTAAACTGGTCTACCTAGATAGGTATATCAAATAAACAGGAAAACAGATTTTTGAGTAAGATTGTTTGGAGTTTGGGAGGGAAATGTATTTCAAAATATTAAAAACTTCGTGTAGTCACTAAATTTTAATTAATATAGTTTAGTTCCTCTCCATACTGGTTGACATGGAGAGGAAAAGGCTTATTAGGTTAAGACAACTGAGTCTTCATATTTCCTAATTCTTACACACTGTCTCCACCAGAAGAGTGCAGCTTAGTGAAAAAGCTAAAATTCAATCAGAACTATGTGAAATATTATGATAGATTCAAAAAATATTTTTTCTTCAACACTAAAATTGTGATATTATTAGACATTTTAGAGCTGAGAAAAGCTAGATATTTGAAACACTTTTCTGTTTTACTAAGATGTAACTAATCATTACCCTACACCAATGTGTGATAGGAAAATTACCCATCAGTAGTAATATAATAAAAATGGAATCAATTACCCTTTTTAGAAAACAATGAATACTTGTGATGATTCAAGAATTACTTTATAAAGCTTTGTCAGTTATAATCTTAAACACAACTTTAAAGTAAAACGAAGATTAGCATACTGGTCACATATTTAACACTAGGCATTTGAAGCCCTAAAATGTCACTAATGTGGTTGGGAAAATATTTCTTACTGGTATTACTTTGAAAGTAAGATTATGTATTAAATATAGAATATTTTCTATATTACTCAAATCTTTATGTATTTTCTTTTTTATTTAGTTCATTGATCCATGAATTTCTTTTTATGTAAGATGAAAAGCAGTGATTCAATTTATTTTATCAGTATTGTTTAGTGATTTAAACACGATTAATTGACATGTTTATTCCCCCTTGAGTTTCAATGCCATTTCGGATATATATCTAGTGCATAGACACACATGGTTTCAGTTTTTAAATCTCCAACCTTAGTCTACATGTTTATACCTGCAGCAACATAGCACCCACATCATATATCTTGATGTCTGATAGAGCAAGTTCCCTCATCTCATAATTATTTTTCAAGAGGTGCTTGCCTATTTTTGACCCTTTGTGCTTCTATAATATCAACTTCTCAATGGTCAAATTCCTGAATGAACTTCTTTGGATTTTGTTTGTGATTACATTAAATCAACAGATTAATTTGGAGAAAATTTATGCTGAGAATGTAGAATTTTCCAATTATTGAATACCTTGTAAGTTTCCAAGTTTTAACTCATCAGTAGTTACTAGTTTTTTTATAGAGGTCTTTTACAACTTCATGAACTATATGCCAAATTCTACCGCATTTCCAATGCTTTCAAAAATAACACATTTTCATAACATAGTTTCAAACATAACAAATTTCATAAATTTAATATTTAAATACAATAAAATTGCTTAATTTAGAAATATTATTGGGGCTGGGTGTGGTGGCTTATACCTGTAATCCCAGCACTTTGGGAGGCCAAGGTGGGCAAATAGCTTGAGCTCAGGAGTTTGAAACCAACCTGGGCAACATGGTGGAAACCCGTTTCCACAAAAAATACAAAAATTAGCCAGTCATGGTGGCACATGCCTTTAGTTTCAGCTACTCAAGAGGCTGAAGTGGGAGGATTACTTGAGCTGGTGAGGCAGAGAACGCAGTAAGACAAGATCACACCACTGCACTCCGGCCTGGTCAACAGAGCGAGACCCTTTCTCAAAATAAACAAATTAAATTAAATATTGTTGGTATGCATCTATATAAAATTTTATATTGTTATTGTATCCACCAAGCTAGTCTTTAAAATATTTAATATTTTATCATATACTTATATTATCTACAAATAATTTAATTTTATTTTTTTCTAATTTTTTTCCTTATAAAACTGGCTAAACTCTTTATCTCAAAGAAGAATAAAAGTAATACTGGTTGCTCCAGGACTTAAGACCTTAGGCTTGCAGTGGCATGTCATCATTTCTTTCTTGTTCTATTGGTTAGAGCAAATCACATAGCCAAACCTGAGGTTAAGTTATGGGGAAAAACACTCCACCTCTTTAGTGAAGAATGGAAGCTCACTGGCAAAGGTTATGGATAAAGGGAGGAATGGAGAATTGAGCCATTAATACAATCTCCAACAGCATGTTTGTTTTTAACAATTTTTGAAGTTTAACTTTTTTGTGTTTCAGCATGATATTTACTATAGAATGCCGTCTTATTAGATATACTATTGTAACGGATCGGGTTCCCTGGATGCAATTCCTGAGACAGGGTTTGATATTCAGGATATCTGAGGTGTCAATACAGTGAATGAGAGTTGGAGAAAACAGGATTGAGCAGAAGATATCAAACTGCAATGTGAATCCAACAAACTGTGTGATTCATTAGAGTCCTCTAGAGAGAATTAGTATATCAGAGGGTTTTATTGTTGTTTTAATATAGGCCCTAAATGTCCAAGCTACTAGACTCTCTGCAGCTAGGAGAAACACTGAAGAATCTAACAGGTGCAGGTGATCTGTTGAGAGCGTTCCTAGCAGCAGGGGCAGTAAATACTTCCTTGAAGAGAAATCTGAGAAAACCATTTCCCTGTCTACTGCACCTCTATTACCTTAAAGAAATGTGTTTTTCATTCACAGCATACTAGGTATATTATCAAATTGTTATTTAATACATAATAAATGAAAGTATTTAAAATTATAATTTTCTCTTTTAATTAATTAATGTAAGGCATTGAATATTGCTATGGCTCGAATGTAAGGCCCCTCCCAAACTCATGTTAAAATTTAATTGTCTTCGTAACAGTTTTAAGAGGTAGGACCTTTAAGATGTGATTAGACCATCAGGGCTACACCCTTATGAATAAATTAATGCTGTTATTGCAAGAGTGGATTTGTTACCACAGGAGTGGATTCCCTATAAAAGGATGAGTTCAGCTTTGTTTTGTTCCTTTCTCATCCATATGACGCCTTCTCCCATTTTATGATGCAACAAGAAGGTCCTCTTTTCAGATGCTAACACCTGGATTTTGAACTTTCCATCCCCCAAAACTGTGGAAAAAAATTCTGCTCATTATAAATCACACAAGCTATAAATTAACCATGGTATTCTGTTTTGACAGCACAAGCCAGACTAATACAAATATTTTCTAAATTTAATTAAACCTTGATTTATTGCATCAAACTAAATTTGTTCCTCCACTTACATCTTTGAGCTACATTTTGAATGATTTCATCTTACCTAACTTTCATTTAACTTATGATTATCAGCAATGTATTAGCTGTAGATTAACCTTTCAATTGAGTTTTTAACTTTGATTATTATAATTTTTATTTTTTACATATAAGATTTTTTTTCCTTTTGCAAGTTCTTTTAATACTTTCTAATTTGTTTTCATCTAAGCATTGCCTTCCCTGATTTGGCCAATAAAATATACCTCCTCTGCAGCCATTAAAAGTAGAGGAGATGTTGACCAGACATGGTGGCTCATGCCTGTAATCCCAGCAGTTTGGGAGGCGAGGTAGGTCGATCACTTGAGGTCAGGAGTTCAAGACCAGCCTAGCCAACATGGTGAAACCCTTCTCTACAAAAAAATACAACAATTAGCTGGGCGTGGTGGCAAGTGCCTCTAACCATAGCTACTTGGGGACTGAGGCTGGAGAATCACTTGAACCTAGTAGGTAGAATGAGCTGAGATCAGGCTATTGCATGCCAGCCTGGGCAACAGAGCAAGACTCCATCTAAAAAAAAAATCAAAACGAAGTAGAAAAGATGTGGATTTACTACTTATTTCCTCTTACTCTGTGGGCTTCACTTTTAAGTTAAAATTTTACTGGACAGAGAGAATGTCTTATTGAAATTTCTGCTTGAGTAGACTGAGACCTTGGCTTCTGTTTCCTCACTTTCAGGCCCTTGCGCACAATTCTGTCCAATACAAAGTTGAAATTAATCAGCTGGACAAATGCTCCAGAACAAAAAGTAATATACCTGCTTTACATTTGGGCTACTGCTCTTACTTTGAATCTAGACTGATTTTTATTATCTTGTTAGCAAATTTGGGAATTAAAAAACCTGTAAACATCTAATTCTGCATTTTCAGTTCCTTTTGATGGAAACATTTTGTTAAGATAGGCTTTATAATCATATTACTGGAAATAAAAGTTAAATTCATATATAAGAATCATAACCTAAGTATTATAAAATAGAAAGTCTATGCAAATTAATGGAAAATCAATAAACTCCTATATCAAACTACCTGAGATTGGAAAACCAATGAATGTTACATTTCTTAGTAGATTAATACAGACTTGGTGGAGATTACAAACTTACTTTCTATTTACTTAAAAAAGATATATTTCTTTTTTTAATATATCAGAAACTCCCTGAAAAGATCACTCTACATAACCTATGAAGTTTTTAAAAGTAGGGCTCAACATGGTAAAATTGATTAAATATATCACATACAGTATTTTTAATATGAGAATAAAAAATAGAATCAGAATGAAATAGTATATTAATAAAATAGAATATATTGCACATACTATGTATAA
This sequence comes from Homo sapiens, assembly GCF_000001405.40. Taxonomy (NCBI): domain Eukaryota; kingdom Metazoa; phylum Chordata; class Mammalia; order Primates; family Hominidae; genus Homo; species Homo sapiens. The sequence goes on along the minus strand of NC_000013.11, from coordinate 84,281,560 downwards.
GAATTGCATTTGATAATTTTGTTTCACATAGATACAAGTGTGTATAGTGGAATTTGTGAAAAAAATAGTTTCACACCCTGGGTCAACAAAAGTTTGAAAGTCACTGGATAATACAGGGAATACAAGCAAATAAGAAAAAATTCACTCTATGTACATTGAAGGAACAAGATATTTTTTATCACATTTATAACTATAGGAGTAAACTAGTCCACTTTAGCACACGTAGTAACTTTCTGCTGTTTGGGATGATTACAATAAATGCAGTATAACACGTGTTACTAAATCTCAAGTAACCAGGATTTAGGTTTTAAATATCTGGATCGCCTTTGCTTTCTTTTTTCATTCTTGATTTTCTATATTTTTTACCAGATGAGCAGGACAAAGAAAAGTATAAAAAACTTGACAACTTAAATTTATTTTATCATAGGAAACTAAACCAAATTTTAAAAGAAAGAAACAATTGTAGTTTTTGATAGAAATATAAAACAGGCTCAACAGATGATTATTTTACTCCTTGGGAATTTTATTTAAGCAAACATTATTTTCTCTGATACTATAATTAAATTTAAGTTGATTATAATTGATAAACTTATGCTCTATATTTGCCATTTTCTAGTATGAAAATTGCTTAATTTTGAAGTAAATTAGTTTTAAAAAAATCAGAAGCAAATACGATTATATTTTCTCAGGGATAGATATGATACAGTATGTACATTTCATGTCAGTAATCTAAAAAGTGCTAGAAACAGCAATTTCCTAGTTATTCAATGAAAATAACAACTTTTACTGATAGCTCTGTAGCCATTCAATACTCTGAACTACATTGTATTTGTATAGCATGTATAAGCACAGTTTATAATTTGTCAGCAGAAAGACATCTTGCAATTAGCTTGCTATATAGAACTGACCTAGTCAGTATTATCTGGAGAATGTCACCTAACATTGACAGCATTCTCTTAGTTAAAGATAGAAAACTGTCAGGATTTCCATTAAATTTATATTCCCAGGGGTTTGTAACTTGGCATCAAAAATGCCACAAGTGTAAACTTAGCATGCAAGGTGTTAGCAGGGTAGTTTATTTTAAAAGGCTGTATGTATACTGTGAAAATGTCCTTCAAGCTTAAAAAGGCAACCTGGCAACATGAAGGTCTGCATAAGAAAACATCTGTATTAATACTGTCTCTGTGTTCCTAGAAATCCTGCTGATGTTTTAACCAGGGAAAGAAAATGATAGAGCTACAGTTGAATGGAAATGTCATACTATTTAGCGAGCTATTTTTGTGTCCTCAGCTGTTCATGTATGTTCAAAAAGGACTCTTCTAATTCTAAAGATATCTCCAAATAAGAATGTCATAATTGTATTGCATAATCTGAGGTGGGACTTGCCCTTTAAAAACAATGTCATAGCTTTTAATCTTTTAGTCTTAAGTCTGACAATTACTAGCAGCTGGTGGAAACTCAAATTAATATAAACACTAATTACTCAAAATATAAAACAGTAATAATAATAACGCTTTGCCAAAAACACTTGCACTGTGTCCTAGAAATTAAACCATAAAAAATGGAAAGTACATTTTTAACATTATGATATGAGGTACTTCAAGCAAGGTAAGAAAACATAGAATTTTCTATTGCCTATGTGGGAGGCAGACTAGGGTTGCTGATACTGCTAAACTTCAGTGGTATCTATTATAAGCTGTCTAAGCCTTCTCCGTATTCTGCTCTTAATAATTGCAAGAAAGAGGAATTGTGTCTATTGGTGAATGTTTATATTAGAATCAGTAACATCAAATTTCATTCATCTTTAAACTATAGAAGTCACTTGGGGGCTTCTGTTCAAGATGAAATTACAGTGACATGTTTTACTCTCCTGACTGACTAAAACCACCACCAAACCAGAATGCACAGAATATCAGTTTCCAAGATAATGGACATTAAGCAATGAAGAAAAATGTATAATGGAAGCAGACAAGGTGAGCGCTACCATTGCGCCAAAATACTGATTAGAGAGTTTCCAGGTTTGGTACAAAAAGAAAGAACAAAGCAGGGCCTAGCACACTATCTCAGGTGAGAAGATTAATCTAAGTGTCTCGATAAAACAAGGCAGCAACAGTCATCGGGGCAAATGATGGCAAATAAGAGAACCACATAGAAATTCCAGTAATCTGAGAGTATCATTCTTAAGTGTTGAGTTACATATTAGCTGGTGTGTTCCTGCAGTGCAACTCCCTGAGGCTAAAGACCCACCCAAAAAAGTTATAAGGAATAATAATCAGTGTTCCCATGGGGCTAAAAAAAACTGCCTGTTACCCTAGACAGGCTAGAACATCTTAAAATTATCACAGCATTGAGTAGAGTATTCATAAATATATTGCTTTTATAGTGTAGAATAAATGAGCTCTAGAATAAATACAGCTTACATCTACCTAAAAGTATTCAATGAGCAAAACCCAAAAGGATCAAACTGTTCTCAAATAACTTTATGTATCACGCAAAAATACTGAAAAAATGTATGAGGGAGCAAAAAAATAGAATCTTCAACCAAAATTACATGACATAAACATGCAGGAGAAATACAATTCACAATGAAGAAAATGAAAAATAATAAAGAGACAGTCAATCAAAATTGACCCAGAATGCATCGATGCTAGAATTAGCAGGTGGAGACAATAGAACACTTTTAAAAGCTAAACTATATTTCACATATTCAAAAATTAAGTAGAGGTATAGAACTACAAAACAAATGTACAAACTATTAGAGCAGCAAATGCCAACATCAAAGATGCAATGACAATGAACACAATACCGGGCAGATAAAATATTGCAGAGAAAAAGATTAGTACGCTTGAAATGGAATGGCAATGGAAACTTTCTAAAAATAAAAAACAATTGGTAAAATTAAGAACAGCATAAGGGCAATAGAAATCCCTGAAGGGAAGGATTCTCAAATTTATTGAAAACTATAAACCCCTAAGTTCAAAAAGTTTAACAAACCCAAAATGCAATAAATATAAAGTAAGTTGCAACAAAGTGTACCACAGTCAAATTGCACGAAGCCAGTGATAAAGAGAAAGGAAATTGTAAAAACAGGCAGAGAAAAAGATACCTTTTTTATTTGTGTATATCATTATACACAGAGAAACAAATATTGTAAGTGAGAAGATAGTAGAACAACATCTTTAAAACACTGAAAAAAACTATCAATATAAAATTCTATAGACATTGGTAATATATTTTAATAATGAGTGTTAACGTGACATTTTCAAAATACAAATGTTGTTGTTGTTGGCCTGCTTTTCCATTTAGTCTGATTCTTTCCCTTTTGTTGGGGGTTTGGACCAATTATATTTAATATTATTACTGATGTGGTTAAGTCTATTGCTTTGCTATGTTTCTCCTATTTATTTCATATCATTTGTTTCCTTTTATGTCTTTTATATATATATACTTTAAATCCCATTAAAAGATGATTTACTATTTAAATAAAAATCATAATGTGTTAAAATTCATATATGTGTAAGTAAAATGTATGTAAGTAATAATATATAAAGTAGGAGTGGAGAGAAATGAAAGAATACTTTTGGAATAAATATTTTTGTATTTTTTTTCTATTATTAGCTTGTTAGCCATCGTTCTTTACACTGTTATTTCATTTTGCCTCGTAGTTTATTGTATACTTCTTTCATACATGATACAACATTTTGAAATATCATTTGCTTATGCGATATCACGTGTTAAAGAAGTATACAATAAACTATAAGGCAAAATAAAATAACAGTATAAACAGCAATTGCTAATAAGCTAATAATAGAAACAATTAAAAAAATTCATTTCAAAAGACATAAAAGGAAACAAATGATATGAAATAAATAGGAGAAACATAGCAAAGCAATAGACTTAACCACATCAAATAATAATATTAAATATAATTGGTCCAAACCCCCAACAAAAGGGAAAGAATCAGACTAAATGGAAAAGCAAGGGCAAACTTGATGTTGCCTTCAACAAACACAGTTAAGGTATAAAAGAAATACATTGAAAATAACATGAAAAAATTATACCAGTTATAACTAATCAAGAAAAGCCAAAGGAGATACATTAATATTAGAAAAAAATATATTTTAGAGCTAATAATATTACCAGGGATAAAGAAAATACTTTCACAATGAAAAAGTACATACAAGTACATAAAAAGGATAAATGTCTATGAAGCTAAATATAGACCCTCAAAATATATAAAGCAAAAACTAACAGAAAAAGAAGATAAAGACAATTCCATATTTATAGCCAGAGATTACCACACTATGCATCCAATATTGGTAGAACAAGGAGAAAGAAAATCAGAAAAGATACAGATTACCTGAATAACACTGTCAAGCAAAAATATCTCACTTCCTTTTATTCAAGACTCCACAGAACCACAGCAGAATATCACCTTTTCTTACAAATGTACATGAAACACTCATCAATATAATAAGTATATTCTTAGACACAAAGTGACTTTCAATAATTTCTACTTATACAAAGAATATCCTTTGACCACATGGAATTAAATTTAAAACAACAGAAACAACTCTCTCACACCACTCACTAAATATCTGAAAAATAACAGTAATTCATATCTAAAGGAAGCCTGGTTTAATTTAGAAAATACTCTGAACTAAAGAAAAATTATAACATATTATATCAAAAATTTGTTGGTTGTTGTTAAGGCATGTTTCAGGAGACATTTATAACACAAAATGCAAAAAGTAAAAATGTACGTAAAGAAACAAGGTCTTATGTCAGTGACCTCAGATATACATTAGAAAACTAGAAAATAAAGAGCAAATAAAACCCAAAGTAAACAGAAGCAGTAAAATTCAGAGGAGAAATCAATAAAATGGAATTTGAAAAGAGAAACACAGGCCAAAAAGCTTTGCTTTGGGAAGATCAACAGCACTAATAAAGTTATACCTATTGTGACTGGGAAAGTGGCAAGAAGGGAAAATTACCAATGTCAGAAATGAAAGAGGCGGCTTTCCTAAATATTCCACAGAGATAGAGGAAAATAGGTAATTATTATAAATATGCCAGTCAATTCAATTATTTATATGAAATGGACAATTTTTTTGAAATAATTTATCCATCTTAAACTAACGGCATTCCAAGAAGTAATGATTAAGCTGAGTTTCGGTATATCTACTGAAGATACTGGATTTCTAATTAGAAAACTTTCCACAAAGAAACTTGTAGTACCAAAACAAGACAATGGCAGTAGTGTGTCCTTACCTATCGATAATTATCTTGAATATAAATGGATTAAGTTATCAAATGAAAATATATACAGTAATTGAATAGATTTTTAAAAATTGAGACCCCAGGGTATGTTGCCCACAAAAGACTCATTTACCTGTGAGAAAACATATAGTCTAAAAGTAAAGGTGTAGAAAAAGATACACCATGCTAAGGAAAACAAAAGAGAACAGAGGTAGCTGTATTAATAATAGACAAAATAACCTTTAAGTCAAAAACAATAAAAAGAGATGAAGGTCATTATATAATGATAAAGAGGTACATACAGCAAGAGGATATAACAACTATAGATATATAAGCACCCAACATCAGGGCACATAAATATTTAAAGAAAATATTAATAAATCTGAACAGAGATATACTGTAAAACAATATTAATAAGGGACTTCAACAGCTCACTTCCAGCAATTGGAAGATTATCCAGCAGAAAATCAATAAGGAAATATTGGACTTAAACTACACTATAGACCAAATGGACTACAGACACTATAGACTAATTAAGCTACACTATAGATAAAAGGTGGTATTCTGCTGGTGTATACACATATATAAAATATTCCATTCAGTAAACCACAGTATATTCATTATTCTCAACTGCGTATAAAATATTCTTGGAATATATCATATAAAAAGTAACAAAGCAAGTCCTAATAAATTGAAGAAGACTGAAATCATACCAAGTATCTTTTCTGACCAAATTAGTATAAAGCTGGAAATGAACCACAAGAGGAAGTTCGGAAAATTCACAAATGCACAAAAATTAAACACATTCTGTTTTAGATCAATGAATCTAAATAGATCAATGAATAAGCTTTTCAAAAAATTTAAAATATTTCTTGAGGGAGAAGGGAATAGATGGCCAAATACATGTAGTCAAGGAGCATTGCTGCCACCAGGAGAGTCCAAAGTATCAAGTAAATCACCATAATTTGGGGGAGCTCTTTGAAGAGAAAATGCTCAGAGTGGATGGAGAAACACAGCTGATGCTGACATTGAGGAGGGAGGAAGCTGGATACCCTGCACTGAGGAGGGAGGAAGCTGGGTACCCTGCACAAGGTGCCCAAATGCCAGGGCTAGTTCACAGCCCTGAGTGGCTCCAACACTCTTTCATGATAAAAATAAATAAACAAACAAATAAATAAATGAATAAATAATAAGTTGTAGAAAGAATGGACCTCAACACACTAAAGGCCATATATAACAAATTCACATCTAACATCATACTCAACTGTGAAAATTTGAAATCTATTTATTTAAAATCTAGAATAAGAAAACAACGTTTACTTGCACAACTCAGCACAATACGGGAAGTCGTAGCCAGACCAATTAGGCAAGGGAAATAAATGTTATACAGATGAAAAAAAATAAGTTTTTTTTTGTCTATTACAGATGACATGATCTTATATATATAAACACTAAAGACTTCACCAAAAGGCTGTTAGAACTAATAATTTCAGTGAAGTTAAAGAATACAAAACAACTTAGAAAAATCAGACATGTTTTTATACTTTAACAATAAACGATGTAAAAATAAATAAATAAAACAATCTCCTTTACTATCACATCAAACAAAATAAAATAATTAGGAGTAAATTTAACCAAGGAAGTGAAAGATCTGCGTGCTGAAAACTATAAAATTTTCATGAAAAAATTGAAGATTACATGAATAAATCCCATGTCCATAAATTGGAAGAATTAATATTGTTAAAATGTCAAATACTGCCCAAAGCAATAGGCAGAGTCATTACAATCCTTATCAAAATAGCAATAACATTATTCAGAAAAATTAAAAATAAATTCTAAAATTTGTGTATAATCTGAAAAGACCCCAAATAATCAAAAGAATCCTGAACAAAAAGGAACAAAGCTGGAGGAATTATACTAGGTGACTTCAAAATGTACTAATAATCTGTAGTAATTAAAACATTAGGGCACTGACATAAAAACAGATATATAGATAAAAGGGATAGCATTGAGAGCTCAGACATAAATTTACACATTTAGAGCCAACCAATTTTTGACAATGGTGTCAAGAACACACAATGAGGAAAGGATAGTTTCTTCAATAGACGATGCTGAAAAAACTGGATATTCTGATGTAGAAAAATTAAACCATGCCCTTACCTCACACTGTATAGAAAAATCAAAATGAATTAAAGAATTAAATGTAAGAAATGAAACTAGGAAATGACCAGAAGAAAACAGAGAGAAATGTTCTAAGACATTTATCTTGTCAACAATATTTTAGATACCCCCAAAGCACAGGCAACAAAAGCAAAAATAGACAAATGGGATTACATGAAATGCAAAAGCTTCTGCATAACAAAGAAAATAATCAACAGAGTGAAGAGACAACCCACAGAATAAAAGAAAATATTTACTATATATTTGTTGAGTTTAATATCCAAAATATATAAATATAAATATATAAATAATATATCTGACACAGTATATAAACTGTATATCTAACTATATAAATATAGGTATATAAATATAAACTGTATATCTACTAAGGGTTTAACATCTAAAATATATAAAGAATTCCGATTACTGAGTAGCAAAAAAATACATTTAATCCAACTAAAACTTGCCTTTTTCCAAAAATAATTGGAAAAAATGTCTTCAAAAGAAGACACAAATGGCTAACCGGCATATGACAAAATGCTCAGCATAACTTATCATAGGGAAATGCAAATTAAAATCACAATGAGATATTATTTCACGCCTGTTATAATGGCTATTATCAAAAAAATGAATAATAAGTGTAAAGGATGTGGATAAAAGGCAAACTTTGCACATTTTCGGTGGCAAGGTAAATTAGGCAACAACAGACCACATATATGAGAGTGGTCTGACAAGATAATAATGGTGTTGAAAAATTCCTATCACCTATCACCTAGTAATACTGTAGCTGTCATAATGTACTATAGCACAACGCATTAGTCATTGTCACTGGTGTGAATGAACTTACTAAGCTGCCAGTCTTAAAAAATTCTGTACAGTACATAATGCTTGATAACGCTAATGAACAATTACGTTACTGGTTCATGTGTTTACCATATTATACTTTTTTATCATAATTTTAGAATGTACTCCTTCTACTTATAAAATATAGTTAACTGTAAAACAGCCTTAGGCATGTCCTTCAGTAGGTATTCCAGAAGGCGTTTGTTATCATAGGAGATGACAGCTTCATGTGAGTTATTGCCCCTGAAGACCTTTCAATGAGACAAGATGTGGAGATGCAGAGAGTGATATTGATGATCTTGACTCCATGGAGGTTTAGATTTATTTTTGTGTTTGTGTCTTAGTTTTTAACAAAAAAGTTTAAATAGTAAAAAATAAAATAAAATGAATGCAAAATAGCTTATACAAGAAGGATATAAAGGAAGGAAATATTTTAGTACAGCTGTGAAATGTGTTTGTGTTTTAAGATAAGTATTATTACAAATGAGTCAAAATATTTAAAAGTACATAAAGTAAAAAGGTTACAGTAAGCTAAGGTGGCTTTATTATTGAACAAAAAAATATTTGTATAAATGTCATGTAGCCCAAGTGTACAGTGTTCTGAAAATCTACAGTAGTACACAGTAACATCCTAGGGTTTCATGTTCACTCACTACTTACTGACTGACTTACCTAGAGCAACTTCCAGTCCTGCAAGCTCGATTCAAGATAAGTGCCCTACATAGTGTATCATTTTTAATCCTTTATATGTATTTTTACTCAACTGTTTCTATGTTTAGGTACACAAATAGGTACCATTTTACTACAATTACCTACAGTACTTAATGAAATAATATGCCATACAAGTTTGTAGCCTATGAGCAATAAGCCACATCACAGCTGAGGTGTCTAGTAGGCTATACCACTTATGTTTGTGTAAATACACTGCAATATTCACACGAAGACAAAACTGCTTAATGGTGCATTTCTCAGAACATATCTTCTTTGTTAAACCACATATGACCGTACTTCAAACTGTCATGTTGTACATAATAAATGCATGTAATTTTATCTATAAATTTGAAAATTAAAAAAAAAAAAAACTCCAGGCCTAGATTGTTTCATTGGTGAATTCTGTAAAACCTTAAGAAAAAAATAATAATGCCAATTTTATACAAAATCTTCTAGTAATTTACATTAAAATATTTATTTCTCAGTTCATTTTATAAGGGCATTATTATGCCGATATCAAAGCCATGAAAATAAATTAGATAAAATAATAAAAATGACAGATATCCCTCATAAATATGGTGGACACATTACAAACAAATTTTGGCAAATTGAATTCAACAAAATAAAGAAAAGCTAATTACATATCATGATCAAGTGGGATTTATTCCATGAATGTTAGTTTGTTTCAATAATGAAGATCAATCAATGTAACTTACCATATTAACAAATTAAACATAAAAATGACCTGATCCTCACAAAAGACACAGAAAAAAGCATTCACAACCATTCAACATCCATCCTTGCCAAAATATGTTAACTTAGGAATTAAAAAAAATGAATACTGACAAATTGTTTCTAAGAAAACTCACAGCTTATGACAACTTATTTGTAAAAATGTTACTGATTTTCCTCTAAGATCAAAAGGAAAATGGGAATTTCTCTCTCCCAACTTTTTGTCAATATTGTACTTGAAAGTTTTACCAACCGCAAAAAAAGAAAGGAAGGGAGGGTAGGAGAGAGAGACGGATTAGAAATGAAGAAATAAGCTGTCATTATTCAGTTTTAGAAAAATCCAAAATTGAAATTAAAAGCAATAACATTTACAACAATGATAAATATATGAATACTTAAGGATAAAACTGACTAGAGATTGTTAAGCCTATGTATTCAAAAGTACAATACTTTGCTGAAGAGAAATTAGATAGTCTAAATGAATATGACAATGTATATGATGCTGAAGACCCTGTATTGTTAAGCTATCAATTCTACCCAATATGGTCAATAGCTATAAAAAAATCAACCAAAATCCTAAAAGTCTGGCCAACAGCATATAAAAAGTGCTCAAAGTCACTAATCATAAAGGAAATGAAAATTCATACCAAAATGAGATATCACCTCACATCCATTGTAATGGCCATTATCCCAAGGACAGAAAATAACTAGTGGTTTTGAGCGTATTAAGTTAGAATTGCTGTGCATTGTCGTTCAAATGTCAAATGCTGTAGCCATTATGAGAAATGTATGGATGTTCCTTAAAAAAATTAAAAATAGCATTTCAATATAATTCAGCAATCCCACTACTAGGGAAGCAGCCAAATTAATTCAATGCAGAATCATGGAGATATTTTCACACTCATATTCATTGCAGTATTTACAACAGACAAGACACGGAAACACCCCAAATGTCTATCCATAAATAAATGAATATAAAAATGTGGTATATTCATACAATGAACTATGCAGGACTAAAAATAAGGAATCCTGTCACATACAACATGGACAATCCTCCAAGATATTATACTAAGTGAAATAAACCAGTCACACAGTCACAAATAGACAAATACTGTAGGATTCTACTCATGTGAAATGTCTAAAGCAGTCAAAATCATAGAAACAGAAAATTAAATTTGTTGCCAAAGGCTGGGGAGGGAGAGAAAAGGGGACGCTAGCACTTAATTCCAAACTACAGAGTTGTAGTTCTGCAATATAAGAAAGTTCTAGATATCTATTGCACAGTGATAATGACCATAATGAACATTACTGAACTGTACACTTAAAATGGTTAAGAAAATAAATGTATTATGTGTTTTTTACCACAATTAAAAATAGCTGTTTTTTTTCACAGAAACTGAGAAGCTTATTTTAAAAACTAAATAAAATTGATAAGGAAACATAATGATGTAAACATAATGATGCAGAGTAGTAAAATCAACTTTAAGAAAAAACAAAATTGTATAACTAAAGCTACCTGATATGAGACTTATTATTAAGATACTATAATCAAGGCAAAGTGGTTTTTGTGTAAAGAAAGATGAATAGATCTACGTAACAGATACAGAGTCCAGAAAAAAGATAAACATTTATATGAAAAACTGATTTTGGCAAATGTATATTTCAGTGGAGAAAAGATACGCAACAAATAAACTTTGACATACAACTCACATCTTATATAAAATTTAATTAAAAATTAAAACTTGATCTAATTGGAAAACCAGAAACTACAATTATTTTAGAAGAAAACAAAAGAGATAATATGATCTTTTTGGCCTCAGATTGGACAAACAAAAATCAATAAAGGGATAAATTGATACAATGGACTATATCAAGAGAAACCAAACATTCTACTCCTAAATATTTATCTAAGAAAATTATAGTATATAACCCTACAAAGACTTGCATACAGGTCAAAATAATTATGCTGACTGAAAGAAGTCAGACCAACAATAAGTGCATACCCTATGATTCGATTTATGTAGAATTCTATAAAATGCAAATCAACTTCTGATGACAGAAGAGATCTGTTATTGCCTAGACATAAGGGTATGTGTTGAAGGGACAGGAAGGAGGAATTATCTCGTAGCATGAGGAAAAATTTGGGGGTGATAAATATTCATTATATTGATTATGATGATTTTTCACAGGAGTATACATATGCCAAAATGTGTTAATTTGTATGTGTTAATTATATGCATTTTTTGTCAATTATACCTTAAATAAATAAATAGATAAATAAATAAATAAAATAATGCAGTTTCCTCCTTCTAAAACTAGAGTTAGTCACTCAGGAGTATCAAATTTCACTTGAGTTGAAAATTTAAATATGTGCTAAATCTGGTAACAGTTTAGATTACCTTTATTGTTGTTAAATTGTTTTGAGTGTTTTTTCATTTCTCAATGTCAACACACTGTGAGTAAATTGAAACATTGATGAATTTCATCTTTGTTTGCTTGCTGTTACCCAATTTAAATACCATTATTGCTTGGTAAAGGCAATTCGCCTATTATGAAGTTTTGTGGTATATATGCAGTGCACATGTTTATTAGCTTTACAAAAGATTTAACAAATTGTGTGTGTGTCAATGTGTGTCATTGTGTACATGTAGTACCATCTAAGGAAGCCAAAATAAAAGGTAGGAATAGACGAAGAAAGGAAAGAGAAAAGAAGGAAAGAAGGTAGTATTTGTTAAATATCTATATTGAGCAAATCTGCATAATTGAAGATTTTCTTAATTAACTATTCCTTATTGAAGCCTATAGTTTACTCTATTTAGGAAGGAGCTGGTTTGCTTTTCTAAAATTGTGATAAGTGTACATACTATAAAATTTATCATTAACAATTTTTAAGTGTAAATTTCAGTAGCATTAAGGACATTCACATTGTTGTGCAACAATCACCACTATCCATCTCCAGAACTTTGTATCATTCCGTACTGAAACTTTGTACCTATTAAACACTAACTCCTCATAATGTCACCCCCCTAAGCGCTGTTCTGCTTTCTGTCACTATGAATTTTACTTTTCTGACTAAAGCACAGAAGTGTAATCATATAGTATTTTTCCCTTTGTATGGCTTGCCATAATGTCCTCAAAGTTCATCCATATTGAAGCATCTATCAAAATTCTATTCCTTTTTAAGGCCGACAAGTATTTTATTGTATTTATATATCACATTTTCTTTACTCACTCACCTATTAATCGATATCTGTGTTGTTTCCACTTCCTAGCATTTGTCAATAATACTGCCATGAATATTAGTGCACAAATATCTGTTTCAGTCCAAGCTTCCATTCTTTTGGACACATACCCCAAAAAGAAATTGCTGAAAATTATAGTAATTCCATTTTATTTTTTAGGAACTATCATATATTTTTCCACAGAGGCTGCACCATTTTATATTCCTACCAGCAATGCACAGGATTCCAATTTCTCCACATCCTTGAAAAAATTTGTTTAAATGATATTATAGTCATCATAATGGCATTGAAGTGCTATCTCATTGTAGTTTTGATTTTCGTTTCTCTAGTGATTAGTGATGTTCAAAATATTTTCATGTGATTCTTTTTGGCAATTTGTATATCTTCTTTGAGGAGATGGTTATTCAAGTCCTTTGCTCATTTTTAAATTTTTTGGTGGGTTTTTTTGTTTGTTTGCTTTAGGAATTTGTTATACATCCTGGATATTAAACTCTTATCAAATATGTGATTTGCAAATATTTTCTCTCATTCTGTGCTAATTTGCTTTCTAATGACTGAATCACTCCCTGGGTTAGTGCTGGCCTGCAAAAGTGCCTGTTATTCTTTGCTCCAAAATGTTTCCTTTCTTCTGCAATCTTTCGGGGTTTTATGCTTTTCTTCTTTATAATTAACATTGTTACAAGCATGCATTGCATCAATTTTTTGTGACTTTTGCCATTCTTTGACGGTTTGGTGAATTTACAAAAGAGAAAACATAACTAAGCCAAATTCTCTATAAATTTAATAGGAGTTTATAGTTGCCTATCAGAAAAATTCCATTCATTTTCTTCAAAATCTTTTTCATTGTAGCATTATTTCCAAATGGGTAAAATTCACAAGGACATTTACTTGCATGGTCTTTTTTCATTGAAACTGCTTTATTATGTTTTAGTATAATATTTTCTATTGCTTTTGATAATTTTGATAATTTCCTTAGCTACATTACACCTCCTCTGAAACTTATCTTAGAATATATAGCCATTTCTATGGGTCCAGAACCATGTTAAGTATAAACAATAAAATAAAGCAGAAAATGTTGTCTGTATTCTCAAGTAGGTTTTGGTGTTAAAACAATTAGAGTACAAGTAAAAAAATACATAGAATAAAAAATAATATTTTAAAATGTTCACTTTGAACACAGTGTGAAGTTCTAGAAGGAGGGTCAATTTGATTGAAAATAAATCTATGGTTACAACCTTTATATTATCACTTTCAACATACATGTCCTTGGACATGGAACCCAGTTTTAACTTTCTTGTGTTCATCTATAAAACAGTGTTAGCATTTCTGAATGAGTTTTATGTATTATTACAAAGAAAAATTGCAATGTAGTTTATCATGCACAGTTAAATAATTAATATTGCTAGGTTTTATTCCTTTCTCATTGTTTTGAGTGATTTTATATAATACCTTAAATAAGGATTTAAATATATGTTATTAGATGCATCCCCACCTAAGCCAGAATTCTCTACCACAATGATGAAGCCAAGTTTTACCAGATTATTTTGAAATTTTTACTAAACTCAAAAAACTCTAGTGCTCGAAAAATTTATCTTTTGTTCTAATATATTAACTTTAGGATGTTATATAGAAATGTGTGTATTATGGTAATTGTTTTGCCATTTTTAACAAGAGAGATGAACAGAATAAAATGTTGCTTGTTTTATTTCATGGTCATGAGACTTAAAAATAACATACAAAAATATAATTTGTATTTGCTTTAAAAAATGAAATACAATTATTCAAGTACTTAATAAATAATGAAATGCTGAAAATGTTGCCAGTTTTACACTAACAGGTTTCTTTTTCTTTCATCAAATTGCTTTAAAAAGTTTCAGTAATGTAGCCTTCTCATTAAATACTGTTTTATTATTAAAAAATATATCAGGAGTATTATTGTTTTATGAAATGCAAATAAATACAAGAAGTTTCTTCTATCTGTAATTCAGATCTTAAGTGAATTTATCATAACTTATGGTGTTAATTTAATTAAATTCTCATGGATCATATAACCTCAATAAAAAATGTTATTAGTTGGAAATATTACAATGCTATTGATCCACATTTAGATGTCAGGTTTTGAATTTCTATTATAGTTATGTCTAAATCAGTGTATTATGGAGATATAACTAACTTTACTAAAGCTGTTTTTTCTGTTTAGATTACATTAGCAATTGTTCCTCTAGATATGACCTCAAAGGAAAGGTACAAAATCAGTCTAGTAAATTTGAAAAATTTTGTTTATTCTCACAAGTAAGAGAGAAATAAATTAATGTCAGAACCAGTATTAGAATACAATACTTTCTCAAAATGTTCTAATGGTTTAGCAAGTAATTTTTCAAATGCTTTTTGGGAGAGCATATACTTTGTAGTTTCATAAGAGCTGCCTGTTTTTGTTTTTGATTTGATTTTTTCTGGATCAGTTCAAAATTGAATAAACATTTCTTTGAAAAACTCAATGCTGTTCCCAAAAGTTCTTCACACAATATTGCCCTTTGCTTGAATAATTCAGTATTTCTGATGGCAAATTTTCAGTCTATTTACTCTGTCCTTACACATTATTTATTCTGTATATTTATAGAATTACACTATCTTCGTATTTATACTAATATAGTAGTGTCAGCCAATCTTTCCTGACTAACCAGTTATTACAGTTCAAAATAAGCTTTTGAAATCTGTGAGTTTCTTGTTACTTCAAAGTTACCTATTTTTTTATAATTTCTCTTGAGTAAGAAAATGCTATCTGCAGGAAACACAAACAAACAAACACTATCAAAATTATATTTATGTGGCAATACTATAAGAGCACGGAAAGCCAGATTGCAAAGTTTAGGCTTATGGCCTGAATAAGAGAGCAATGCCAAGGACAGGATCATTCTCCCTCTTTGTGGGTAGGATGCCTGAGGATGCTTGTTAGATCCGAAATAATATGATCATTGCCTGCCATTCCAGGAATTTCAGCCTTCTTTAGCTTTCAGATATCATTCTTCTTATCTCATTTCATTTGTCAGCAGAGAATCTAGTCCTTTTCCAGTTTAATCACATGTATGTTAGGAAATTAATGACAAGTGACTGCATATGACATGAACCGACCTGAGCTTTTGCAGCTAGCTCAGCTGAATACTTTACATCAGCCAGCTGCCGAACCTCTTCCCAGGGTGCTTCGTGCCTCACCACCCCTGACTTCTCCAGGCTGCTGATTTCTTCTCGATAATCTTAGAAATGGACACATCATTTAGAACTCTATAACATGTAAAATCAGTCACATTAATAAGACGTTACTAAAGACTTGCATATAAAATAACTGAATTATAATACAACTCACACCTACAGCCACACACACACACACACACACACCCCACCACATACCACACATGCCCATGTATTTTGAGTCATTTGATGAAGTTTCTCTCCTTAATAGTCCTGAGTTCTTCTGGTATCTTGTCCCTACAGGGATTTTCTTTGCTCCTCTTAATAGTATATATGTATTTGGTTGTTTTTTGTTTGCTCGTTTGTTTATCTCTCTCCTCCATAGAGTTAAATCCTTCCATTCAAAGCCTCACAATTCATCATTTTAGCTGGCTTGATGTATTATAACAAAATACATAAACTGGGCAGCTTAAACAACAGAAATGTATTTAATAGGCTAGAACTCCAAGATCTAGGTGCTAGCGTGGTTGGTTTCTGGTGAGGGCTCTCCTCCTGGCTTGTACATGGCTGCCTTTTGGTTGTGGCCTCACCTGGCAGGAAGAAAGACACAGAACAAGTTCCCAGATGTCTCTTCTTATAAAGGCACTCGTTCCATTATGAGGGCCCACACCAGTGATGTAATCTGAGCCTAATTATCTCCCAAGGGCTCAATGTTATCACATTCAAGGTTGAGGCTTCAACCTATGAATTTGGAGGGGACCCAATTTAGCCCACAGCATTATTTATCAGTCTGTTTCTTTCAAAATTGAAGTTGGAATGTCTGTTCTACTCAGGAAAAAACTGTTATCTCTTAGCCATTATTTTAATTTAACCATTGTTTCTTCCCAAACCGTCATTCACTACAACCAGGAAAATCGTTCATCAACGAAAACACCAATGAGATGTGTAGAGGCAACAGGATAACTTTCTTTTTTTTCTCTCTCTCTTTTTAAATAGAATCTTGCTCTGTCCCCCAGGCTGGAGTGCAGTGGCACCATCCCAGCTCACTGCAACCTCTGCCTCCCAGATTAAAGTGATTCTCATGCCTCAGCCTCCTGAGTAGCTGGGACTACAGGCTGGAGTGCAGTGGCACCATTCCAGCTCACTGCAACCTCTGCCTCCCAGGTTCAAGTGATTCTCATGCCTCAGCCTCCTGAGTAGTTGAGATTACAGGCATGAGCCACCACACCTTGCTAATTTTTGCTTTTTTTTTTTTTGAGATGGAGTCTCTGTCTGTGGCTCAGGCTGGAGTACAGTGGCACTATCTTGGCTCACTGGAACCTCCACCTCCCGGGTTCAAGCGATTCTCTTGCCTTAGCCTCCCGAGTAGCTGGGACTACAGGCGTGTGCCACCCTACCTGGCTAATGTGTGTGTGTGTGTGTGTTTACTAAAGATAAGGTTTCACTATGTTGGCCAGGCTGGTCTTGAACTCTTGACCTCAAGTAATCCACCCCTACTTGGCCTCCCAAAGTGCCGTGGTTGCAGGTGTGAGCCACCATGCTGAGCCAGAGAACTTCATTTTCTAAAAGCAGTCTGCAGACTGGGGAGACGCAGCCTTCATTGCAAAGTGGCATTATGCTCCAGGAAGAGGCCAGAGAGTAGAAAAGGTGGCAGAGTAGGAAATTAGAACGGCAAAAAACAGAGGGCAGAGGAGGGGAGTGAGGAAGTTTTGACTGGATAACCTTTAAGGCCCAAAGCACCAGTCTCCCTTACCTGGCTGGCTTCAGGTGGCCAGTTAGTTTATGGCAGGTGGTCTGTTGTTCAGCTGGGGAATTTCCAGCTGCAGTCTATCTCAGCAACCACAGAAACTGGTTTGGCTCGACTGTAGAAAAGGCAGTCTTGTGTTACTTTTACAACACCTTTCTGAGAACACAAAAGCATTTTCGAAGCACGCAGGGCATGTGACCACTCTCCTATCTTGCTGTGGCTGCCTGATTCTGCTTTTAAGTTTAGGTGTCTCCGTAAATCACAAGAGTTCATTTTGTCTGCCAGCTGGGGCATACTTTACAACTCTGAAAATATATGTATCATCTTTCTTTTGGGTCTTATTTAGAGAGCCTGAAGCAGTCAGCATGAATAGCCCCACAGACTGAGTTTTTTGAGTTTTACACAATTGCGTTTCCCTTTCGATTCTCATCAGGAATGAGCTAGCTAACTGCGATTGTCCGGTGGCTACTCCAGCTTTTCTCTGGATAACACTGGACAAATAATGTATACATTGCCAAAACCACATTCCTTCTGCAATGAAGAAAACTTTTTACATTGTTCTGCAGAGCAATTTAAGTCTTTATTTTCTTGAAACTCTGCTTTTCCTAATAGAATTTTTTTATTTTTCTTTGCAGAAGAGTTCCATTACAGTGATTTTTCTAAAAAGTAAAGCAGTAGTTTGCTAAAATGTAAATATAAGTCTATGTTAGAAAAACAGAAAGACAGCTCAAAGCACAGTTACCACCACCTTTTAGGCTTTATGTTTAGGTGTGCCTGTTAGAAAACTACTAAATCCAAAGAACAAAAAGAACAAATTTCTTTCTTTTTTTTTTTTTTTTTTTAGACGGAATCTTGCTCTGTCACCCAGCTGGAGTGCAGTGGCGCGATATCGGCTCACTGCAAGCTCCGCCTCCCGGGTTCACGCCACTCTCCTGCCTCAGCCTCCCGAGTAGCTGGGATTACAGGTGCCCACCACCACGCCCCGCTAATTTTTTGTAGTTTTAGTAGAAACGGGGTTTCACCATGCTAGTGAGGATGGTCTCGATCTCCTGACCTCGTGATCTGCCCGCCCCGGCCTCCCAAAGTGCTGGGATTACAGGCGTGAGCCACCACGCCCAGCCCAATTTCTTTTTACTTTAAAGAAAAATTTTAAACTACCTATTAAATAATATTGAAAAGATAAAAGAAATTAAAGACCTAATTGGCTTTCTTTGCAGTTGTAGAATTGGGCTATAAAACAGAAAGATTATTCCACTGGGCATGACAGAACAGTTGGTTTTTGTAAGGTGGGAAGAAGAAAACAAAATTTTTAAAAAGCAGGTTGGTTAACATCGGGTTACTACAGGTCACTCTTCTTTTAAGAGTTAAAGCAGAGAGGTCACTCATTAAGCTAACTCAGTTGGAGTGGTTCTAATTGGTTGCTGTGAATCTCCTGCTTTTTAGGAAAAACTGGTTTGTTGGGGGATTTATCTGCTTCGCTTAGCATGAGTGATTTCATTTTGGTTTGATCTGTCTACGGAGGCCTGCTGCAGATAGCTAATTCAAACCCCTCTGAATATGAAGGGGAACAAACAAATACAATAATGGCCTCCTATATTCTTTGTTTAACATTTTAAAATTATTGCATGTGGATTTTTTTTTCTAGAACTAAAATGATTTAACACCATATGTTGTCTAGCATTTAGTATAAGTAGGTAGCTGGATGAAATTTTTTTCTTTCATTATTATTTGTTTTGCACTACATACAACCTGCCCACCACTCCCCTGCCTTTTAACCATGTGGTCTTTTCCCTTTCTCAGTTTCATTTCACCAGAGAAGCTATTGACAAGGAATATAAAGCAGCTTTCTAGTCTTCACCATAGATATTATGCTAGGAGTCTTTGAAGACAAAACGATATTATAGAAACAGTTATAGTCTTCCCGCAGTATCTGTGGGAGATAGTTCCAGGACACTCTCACTGCATCATACCAAAATCTGCTGATGTTCATGGCCTTTAGTGGGCCCTCCATATCTGCATGAACCCTCAGAAATGGAGAGCTGACTGCCCTCTCAATTAAATTCATTTGTCTAGAGAAAGACAGCCAAGAGCGTCCCCTTAGAAACCAGGAAATGATTACCCTGACATGACATAAAATTGAGATGATAGTTCTTGAAAAACAGGGGCCAATGGTCCATTTTCCAGGGAAGCTCTGGGGAGTTGAGAAAATCCTAGGAATCGGATAGTTGCATAATGATATTTAGCAGAAAGTACAACTGTCAGTGGTATTTGTGCTGCAGCAGAGCCCAAAATTAGCAGCAATGTCCTCATGTCTTTAAGTGATAGACCAGCTATCACTGAAGAAACCTTATGGTGAGAGCTGACTCAGTAAATGCCAGTTTGATTAGTTCAGTAACAAACAGATAGAAGGAATAGGAGCTTTTCAGTTTAAGTGGAGAGCAAAGAGAGCCAGAGGTGACACCTCCTGCCAATGTCTTAATATAATGTAAAACTTCCCATAAGAGAGATGCAATACAGGAAAGAAAGAGATTAAAAAAAAAAAAAAAAAAAACCCAAACTGACCGAGATTAAGTGTTAGGCTCCTTAGTTTGAATTTTTTTAAGTAGAAATCGATAGGTATGAATTTATTCAATAAGTATTTAAGCACCTACTGTGGGACATAATGCCTACTAAAATAGACACAATTCCTTTTCTCCTGGTGTTTATAGTCTAATGGAAGAGATGGATATTAATTAATTACCAAAAAATTACCATTGTGATGTGGGATAGTTGGTAGACAGTACTATGAAAGATAGTGACTATAAAAAGAAATAGTTAATGAGTCTAACCTAGTAGAAGACAGGGATGATGTTCTGGGGAAGTTATATTTGAGCAGAGAAAACAAAGATAATTAGAAACTAGCCAGTTAAGAGGCCACTAGGAGAAGGATGTATAAGTGTTTGGAGGTAGGGATAGAGATAGTGTTCCAGTAAATTCAAGGGCCTGGGTATGAGCTGGAACAAGAAGACAAAGGACAGCCTGTGGAAAGAAGGATGGATAATCACAGGTCACATTATACATGGGGACATTAGAAGCCACATTCTAGAATTTAAAAATTATTTAAAAATCAATGGAAAACTACAAAAGGAGTTTACACATGGGTATGGTATGATCAGATTTCTATTTGCAAAGTTTTAGTCCCATTACTCTCACACCTTTTTAACCTTGACGAGTTCAGAGCAGAAAAGTAGCTAGTATTCAAAGAGCAGTAGAAAGCTAATGCAGTAGTTGAGGCAGGAGACAATGTAGCTTATACGAGAGGGTAACAGTGAGTGGAAAGAAACAAGGACAGCTTTGAGTGGGATCAGGAGGTAAAAGTGGCAGCATTTGATGAATGACTGATTATTGGGAATTCAGGGAAAGGGGTTTTCAAGGGTAACTCCTAGATTTCTCCCTACAAAACTGCATGAATGATGCTACCACTGGAGGAGAACCTGATTTGGGTAGAAAGTATATGAGTTTAAACACAGGGACTGCAGAGGCCTTGTCCAATAGGGTCATGTACAGACTTCAGCTTTCATGAAGTGAATGAAAGGTAAACCACTGTAGGTCTTGAGTAGAAGAGAACCATGATCTGACTCAGGCTGTAAAGTGATTACAACTGTATACTGCAAGTAGATTAAAAAAAAAAGATTACCAAGCAGAAATTCCCCTGAAAAATTAAGCAGGCAAAAAAGAGTTTATTCAAAATAATAGGGAGAGGCCAGTACTCAATCTAAGCTCAGCTTCCACTAATACAAAAGGCTGGATAGTTTTTTAAAGACAGAGGTGTGATAGGTAGTAGATAAGGGTTGGAGGATGCCAAGGCCCCCTAGTTTTGCTTATTGGCCCTACCCAAAGGAAAACGGAGAATTCTTTATATATATATATATATATATATATATATATATATATATATATCCCATATATATGTATATATACGTATATATATCCCATATATACATATATATACGTATATATATGTGTGTGTATATATATATCAAGGGAAATATATATGTACATATATATATATATATGCTATCTCCCTTGATGGTTACATTTCAATGGAATAACCCTCAGCAACTTGAGAATGACCTTCCTCGGTTGTAAAACTGGAAAGAGGCTTTTAAAAAGATTTACATATCAAAGGGGCAAAAAAATAGAATGTACAAGTTTTCTAAAGTAAACACTCTAGGAAAAAAGAGGTCAGGCGCCTAGTTAGGAAGAAGCTTGTCTAAAGTCAAGTTAAACTGAGGAGAACTTTAAGGCCCTCTTGATTTAAAGACAAGAGTGGAAGTAGAGAGACTCTTAGTTTTAATGATGGAATTTCTTTCCTATTGAGTATTTATCTTACTGTGTCTGATTATTGATTCATTGTAATTAGTAGGGTTATTCAGAGGTTTCATTTGGTGAGATAACGCATATGAGTGTGCAGATTGCTCACCTGTTGGAATATTTGTTCCACTTCCTTGGAGTATACATAGATGGATTCTCTTTCATTCTAGAAATTTTGCATGATGCCTACTTCAGAACAACTCTTTAATAAAATATTTTTTTCTGGAATATCTGTATTGCTTCTTTTTCTGAAAAATCTGAATTGTTAAGAGTGTTCTGTATGTACCTTTCTTTACTTACAAAGTTAGAAATATATATATAGGCACACTTCAGTCTGAAACTGAACTCAAATATCTCTGAGGTATGCCTACACACACACACACACACACACACACACACACACACACACGTATATATGTATCTATATGTATACATGTATCAGTGTAAATATCTATATGGATATATATACACAAACACATATATAAAAATATATATTTACAATTATAAAGCATATATGTATTCATAAGTGTAAAGCAGCATATATCCAATAAATAGAAGACAGCATTCATCTTACATAGGACAATAGAAGGCCTCTTGTATGTTCCAATAAATGACAGATAAATAAAGGGAAATGTAGAATTGTATTGGTCAATATAAACTTAACCCATTTATGCACAGGTGTAGAATTTGAGATGTGAGCAGTTCTATGTAACAATTTTTCCTATCCTGAAGGAGGAAATAAATCATGTCACTGGTATCAATAAAGTAAAAATCACATATTTTTATGTACTGTAAATATTCTTGTTAAGATCAAGGGTTTAAAAACAGTCCTATTAGTCTCATTTCAAGTGCTCAATAGCTCTGTTTGACTAGCAATTACTGTGTTGGACAGTATAAATATAGACTATTTCTGTCACCAAAACAAGTTCAATTTGACAGAACTGATATAGAGAGTCACATAGACACAGGATAGAAGTGGAAGAATGAGCAGAAAAATAATTGAAATCAAATTGGATTATTATTGTGACAGTTACAATTAGCCCAAATTGTAAATAATTTAAAAAATCACAGAGAAAAAGATATCCTAAGTGGATTACACAAAACTGTAAAACTTGAACAGAAGGAAAGAAATTCAGAAAATAAAAATAGAAAAATCACATATATGATTATGCAATGTTTATAATATTACGTAGAATGTAAAGATTTATAAGAACATTTATAAGAACATTACAAATAATCTAATGTTTATATTGATAATATAAACTTTATATAGGAATTACAAAGGTTAAGCGAACTCATATAAAACTGACAAGGCTTCTGATACTTAGGGAAAGTGTAAATTACAACATACATAGTTGAGGGAGGTGTTCAGCAACATCACCTCACCAGTGTGAAAGCAATCACATATTATATTTTAAAAGACATGAATACTACTCCTAGAAATTTAACTTAAGGTTATAACTTCAAAAGTTAGTAATGCTATATGATAGAAAATGGCATATGTTCACAGATGTTTATCACAGAGCTTATTACAACAAACAATTAGAATTATCCTGTCCTCTCAGCAATTGGGAACTGGAAGGTACATTGTTTCGTAAACAATTTAGGTAAAATATAAAGCAAAACCAGAAGTAAAAGGAGGTAAATAAAAAAATTCTATCTCTGTGGTATATATAATTGTGTAAAATTATGAAACTATATAAAATGGCAATAGTAAAAAAAAAAGCAGCAAGAAAACAGACTTGCATAGATTAATGGGATTTTACAAAGTAGATAGTAATGATGATGATTGTTACAATTTATTCTTCCAGCATGGGTTACTGTGTGGTGGGCATAGTGCTTATCACTTTATAATCATTATCTTAATTAATCCTTCTGACAATCTAGGAAAGGAGCTACTATCATTCTTCATTTTACAAATGAGAAAACTGCATCCCAGAAAGGTTTGGCATCTTATCCAATGTCACTCAATGGTAAACAGAAGATCTCAGAGTCTAATCCAGGTCTCTGTTGCTAAAATGCTTACTGTCCAATTTAAAACAAACAGATACCAGACACTTAATGAAAACTCCCTGTTTTTTAGTAACTTTGTTTCTATCATATTTATGGGGCATACATTAAGAAAATGTTTCTTGTTCCTTACATATTTGTTATGTTAAAAATGTTTAAGGTCCCCAAAATTTGTATATTGAATTCCTAACCCCAAAGTCATAGGAGGTGGGACCTTTGGAAGGTACTTAGGCAGGGTCATGAGGGCAGAGCCCTCATGAATGGGATTAGTGCCCTTATAAAACAGACCCCAGAGAGACTTTTGCTCTTTCCACTATGTGAGGCTGTGACAAGATGGCACTGTCTCTGAGCTAGAACATAGGCCCTTACCAGACACCAAATTCACCAGGGCCTTGATCTTAGACTTTCCTGCCTCCAAAACTGTGAGAAATAATTTTCTTTTATTTTTTTTGATTTTTAAAATTTTTATTGTTTTCCAGACTCATGGTTTAAAGTTTGTTTCTTTATTTCATAGTTGAATATACAATTATTCACTCTAAAGGTAATGCAGTGAAAGATATGCTGTTTTCACAGCCTAAATATGCCCCATCTTTGGCTCAATAGTGTTATGATTATGAGACCTATGCAATTAATCATTTACATTAATACATTACTGTTACTGTTTTCCTACCATTCATTTTCATTAAATACTGAGGGAAAATGAACTAAAGTGTTCAAAAGGATTGCTTCAACAGTATTGTAATGCTGCCACACAGAGTTGTTCCCTGGCAGACACTCCACCAATTCTAAAAGTACATAGGAAAATGGTTAAAATTGTAATGAAATGAGACAAAACTCCGGAATTCAATCAAATAAAACTTATTCCTCCACATCAGACAGAACTGAGTTTCTCTCACTTTCTTGAAGTTGACACATCTCAGGCAAACCTAATGATTGAACAGAGACACTTCTTACACCACCCAAAGTATCTGTGTGTTGGGTATTACGTCCTTTCTACCAAGGAGAATCCTTCACTGTTACTTCCCTCTGTGTTACTTCTTCCAGTTCTTTTATCTAGATAGCAATTCAATTGCTGCCTCAGAACATTTCTGGGGACACACACTCTCCATGCTAAATGCAAGGTTTGAAATTGTGAGATGATTCATGTCTTTAATTCCACATTGAAATGAGCTTTCCCATTTCTTCTCTCACCCTATAGAAGAAACTTTTTCTGGAGGCTTAAACCGCTTTAGCCCAGATGATAACAGATCAAGTTCTTAAGTAGTCCCGCCAGACCTGAAAGAGAAAGGGAGAAACAGAGGCAGTCCACTCCTTTCCATTTCATCTTCTGGTCAGAGGTGGCATCAGGGTTTTCTGACTGAGCTCCTCATATTTTTAGAAATTCATCTTTTTCCAATTTTTTTATCTGAACAATCATCTCCTCTTGAATTTAATCAATGGGTATGAATTAAATTTTATCTTTCTCTTCAAAAAGGTTTTTCTGTGAAATGATAATTGACATTAAATCTTGCATCATTAAGGATTACCTGGCAGAAGAATTTGTCCTGATGCTCTTCTATTGTTAGATAGTTTTGCTGGTCTTCTTTTGTAATTTTTTATGTTCTTCGATTGTTGCAAACAATGTTACCAGGACACACACATTGGCTTTGCCTCTCTGGGGTTTGCTCCGCCTCTCTGGGGTTGGTTCCGCCTCTCTGGGATTATCTCCATTGTCAAGCTCTATATGATGACAACTCAGGCACATATCTTAACAATCAGTCAAGCAGAGGAGAGTGTATCTCTTTTCAGAAGCTCAACTTATTTCCCCTGGGATATGGCCTCATCAATTTCTGTTGTTTATAAGCCACCCACTTTGTGGTATTTTGTTACAGCAGGCCAATAGACTGAAACAATATTCTAACATGGTGCAACTCATTATTCTACATTGTACTCTAAAATTGTAGATTTTACAACCACCAGCTGATGCCAAGTTTCATAATTGGTTAAATCTAAAATGTCAAGAGTCATCTGGTCTCTCATATCTTCTCTAAACAGTAAAAGTATTAGAGAACATTTTGAAATTAGTAAATGTTTCTCAGAAAGAATGATGTTAAAATTTATGGCATATGAGAACATCAATTGAATGTTCTCAAAAGGACATTACACAAGAAATTAACTCCCTGACATAGGAGTGAATCTGACAGAGGTCATATTGTAGTTTCTATATTTGTCCTAAGAAATAAGTGTTATAATATTAACCTCTCTTTGTGAATAAAACAGTAACTGCATTAGTTTTCTATTGTTGCCATAAGAAATCACCAGAAATCTAGCAACTTAGAACAAGACAAATTTATTTTCTCACAGTTTCTTCAGGTCAGAAGCCCAGGGGGGTTTCTTTACTGGTGGTAAATCTGTACTAGTCTGCAGTAACCACAATTCTTGCCTCCTCAGAAGAAAGA
Source organism: Homo sapiens (assembly GCF_000001405.40). Lineage (NCBI taxonomy): Eukaryota > Metazoa > Chordata > Mammalia > Primates > Hominidae > Homo > Homo sapiens. The sequence continues at coordinate 84,254,876 of NC_000013.11, read as the reverse complement.
ATTTGACTGAGCGGCATAAGGCAGAAGAAGAGAACAAAGCTAGTTTTAGAGCAGGAGTGAAAGTTTATTGAAAAGCTTTAAGCAAGAAAAAAACGAAGGGGCCCAAGAGGGTGACTTGAAGGACAAGTGTCAGGCTGGATCTTTTAATTTATATATATATATATATATATATATATTTTTTTTTTTTTTTTTTTTTTTTTTTTGAGATGGAGTTTCACTCTTGTTGCCCAGGCTGGAGTGCAATGGCGCGATCTCGGCTCACTGCAACCTCTGCCTTCTGGTTTCAAGCAATTCTCCTGCCTCAGCCCCCCGAGTAGCTGGGATTACAGGTGCCCACCAACACACCCAGCTAATTTTTGTATTTTTAGTAGAGACAGAGTTTCACCATGTTGGCCAGGCTGGTCTCGAACTCCTGACCTCGTGATCCTCCTGCCTCGGCCTCCCAAAGTGCTGGATTACAGGTGTGAGCCACCGCGCCCGGCCTTAATTTAGATTTTTATATGCTGGCCTACTTCTGGCATCTTGCATCTCATTTCCCTTGATTCTTCTCTTAGGGTGAGCTGCCCACATGTGCGGTAGCCTGCTAGCACTTAGGAGGTAAGCATCACAGTGTGTTTACTGGAGTTATACGCATGCTCATCTAAGGCATTCTCCCCTTTTCCAATGGAATGCCCACAGAAGGTCATATACCAGTTAAACTCTGCCATTTTGCCTCTTAATGAGCATGGTCTAGCTCACTTTCCCAGCTCCTGAGATCTTATCAGGAAGCTTCCAATCACCAGTTTCAGGTGTTGTTATCTATTAGGAAACTGCCTTTCACTGGCACTGGCTGCAACCAATTATTATTTTAGAGAGGCAGTGTGACAATTGCCTGTCCATCACCTGATGGTCACCTGACGGTCCTGGTGGGGTGTGGAGGCCCTTTCCTGCCCTGTTCTTGTCTGAACCAGCTACCCACTGTAATCTTTCCCCCTTCAAGAATACAAAATCACATTTCTTTGGGGAAAATGGAAGGTCAGTCTTCTATAACTCCTTCCTGCTGACAGAGGGGTGGTGGTGGTGGTTCTATGGGTCTTGGTCTCTTGCTAGCTGTTAGGGCAGGGTTGGCTCCATGGATTGGTGAAAGCAGCATTCAGCTAGGTCCAAGGGAGACAGAGGCAGAATTTCACCTGTCATGTCCCTCTGACAGGTAGTTTAGGGGTCTCCTGTAGAAGGGCGACTCTTGACTATTGAGAAGATAGTATCCCTCAACAAAGAGCATATGGAATTTCATGGCCTGAAATCAAGAGGAGACTTTTCTTTTGAGCTATTTATAGCTTTTAACAACTGAGTAAAATATACTCATGTAAAGAAAATGAGAAGCCAGCAAATGAAACTATCATCAGAGCAAACAGACAACCATCAGAATGGAAGAAAAATTTTTGCAATCTATCCATCTGACAAAGGTCTAATATCCAGATTCTACAAGGAACTTAAGCAAATTTACAAGAAACCAACAAACAACCCCATAAATAAGTGGGCAAAGAACATGAACAGACACTTCTCAAAGAGAACATTTATGTGGCCAACAAACATATGACAAAAAAGTCAACATCACTGACCATTAAGAAATGGAAATCAAAACCAAAGTGAAGGTGGGGTGCAGTGGCTCACGCCTGTAATCCCAACACTTTGGGAAGCTGAGGCAGGTGGATCATGAGGTCAGGAGATCAAGACCATCCTGGCTAACATGGTGAAACCTCGTCTCTACTAAAAATACAATAAAGTTAGCTGGGTGTGGTGGTGGGCGCCTGTAGTCCCAGCTACTCAGGAGCTGAGGCAGGAGAATGGCAAGAACCCGGGAGGCAGAGCTTGCAGTGAGCCGAGATCATGCCACTGCACTCCAGCCTGGGCAACAGAGTAAGACTCCATCTCAAAAAAAAATACAAAATGTAGCCAGGAGTGGTGGTGGGCACTTGTAATCCTAGCTACTTGGGAGGCTGAGGCAGGAGAATCACTTGAACCCATGAGGCGGAGGTTGCAGTGAGCCAAAATCACACTGCTGCACTCGAGCCTGGGCGACAGAGTGAGACTCTGTCTCAAAAACAAAAACAAAAACAAAACCATCTCACACCATTCAGAATGGCAATTATTAAAAAGTCAAAAACAACAACAACAACAGATGCTGGTGAGGCTGCAGAGAAATAGTAACACTTTTACACTGTTGGTAAAAATGTAAATTAGTTCAACCATCGTAGAAGACAGTGTGGCTATTCCTTAAAGACCTAGGACCAGAAATGCCATTTGACCCAACAATCCCATTATTGAGTATATACCCAAAGGAATATAAATAATTCCATTATAAAGAGATATGCACATGTATGTTCACTGCAGCATTATTCACAATAGCAAAGACATGGAATCAACCCAAATGCCCATCAATGATAGACTGGATTAAGAAATGTGGTAGATATACACCATGGCATATGATGCAGCCATAAAAAGGAATGAGATCATGTCCTTTGCAGGGACATGGATGGAGCTGGAAGCCATTATCCTCAGCAAATTAATGCAGGAAAATAAAAACAAACACTGTATGTTCTCACTTACAAATGGGAGCTGAACAGTGTGAACCCATAGACACAGGGAGGGGAACAACAAATACTGGGCCTGTCAGGGTGGAGGGATGGAGGGAGAGGGAGAGCATCAAGAAAAATAGCTAACACATGGCAGGCTTAAATACCTAGGTGATGGGTTGATAGGTGCAGCAAATCACCATGGCACAGGTTTACCTATGTAACAAACCTGCACATCCTGCACATATTCCCTGGAACTTAAAATAAAATAAAATAAGAAAATGTGGAGCATATTTGTTTCTCTCTACCTGATTTCTCCAGAATTTGGAAACTACTTGTGAGTATTCTTATGACAATATGGTTATTTGCAAAAGTGTAATAAGAATCTGTTTTCTTTTGTAACAGGACATAACTGGAGAAACTGATTATTTGACCAAGGCTTTGACTGGGTGTTTACTGGAGTTGTATGCATGCTCACCTGAAGCATTCTTCCTTTTTCTGGTGGAATGCCCCTGGAAGGTCATATAACAGTTAAACTGCACCATTTTGCCTCTTAATGAGCATGCTCGAGCCCCACATACCCAATTCCTGAGATCTTACTGGGAAGCTGCCCATCACCAGTTTTAGGTGTTTTTATTTATTGGGAAACTACCTTTTCCTGGCACTGACTGCCACCAGTTCTTATTTTAGAGAGGTAGTGTGACAACTGCCTGACAATCAGCTGAGTATTACTTGACATTCCAGGTGGGGTGTGGGGGCCCCTCTCCTGCCCTGTTCCTGTCTGACTAGCTACCCACTATAACATGTTCAATGAGTTTCACAAAGTTGAAACCAGTGTTTCTGCAGGGCTATGCTTAATGAACAGAATTATTCAAGTTGTTGGAAAAATTTGTTTGTTTGTTTGTTTATTTTTGCAATTCTAGGACTGAGGTCCCCATTTCTCTTTTTCACTGTTGGCCAGGGCTCACTTTCAGCTTCTAGAAGCTGACTGCATTTTCTGATTTCTGGCCCCATTCAATGTCATTAATGAGGATAGGAACCTTCTCATGCTTCATATTTATCTGATATTATTATCACCTTTTCCTCTGCCTCCCTCTTGGACCACATCTCTCTAACTCTACTCCCAACATTTCTCATCTTTAAGGGTTTGTATGATTGTTTGGGACCTATATGAATTATCAAGACTAACCTACCTATTTTAAAATCCCCTAACTAGCAGCCTCATTTCCATATGCAGAGTCCCAACACAGCAGTACCTGGATTAATGTCTCCTTCAATAACCAACAGATAAGAATCTTGGAACAACATCTTTGGAATTTTGACTACCCCACAGTCACCAAAAAAAAGTAATTCTGCTCACATTTTCTGCTAATAAGTCAAAAGAGTATTTTTGGTCACACACAACTTACAACTAATATTTGAATTATATTATCATAAATTGTAACGTATGCATGTTTAAATTGACTCTGAAAACATTTTAGTTACTAATTGGTTATTCAATTTTTAATTGTTGGTTGAAAAATTTCGTTATTTTTAATTGGAGTTGTAAATACCTATGTATCTCATTTTATTCTTCAATTATAGGACTTTTTTTCATTGATCTTCAAATCTGCACCAGAGGCACGTCAAATTAAATATTTTGTTAGAAGGAACTTGACTATGTTAATTTTTAAAAGTACCTAAGCATTCCATTTAACAATGTCATTTCCTTTCTCTCATCACAGAGAGGTAACTGACTTCACATACATTTAATATAATCAAAGTAGCTACTTAAATCATCTTCAACGCCTAAGTACACTCTTAACAGCTTGTGTTGATTTAGATGCATTGGAATATCTCACCTTTGGAGAGCTCACATTATAATTTCACAGGGATGTACAACAGTGCTAAGAAAACACATCTGGTAGGACTAAGTATATTTTTGCTTAAAATGTTACCTGTCCTCTTCATTACCCCTACCATGGATTGGAATACTAGTCCTTGGTAGGCATTCCTAAATTTTATCAGTGCAAGTCAGAAATTCCTAATAAACTGAAGTCTCCACCTTATAGAGAGATCAGTCATAATGTTATTTTTGGGGGAAGGTCAATTAGAATTCCCCACCTTTCATCCCACCTTTGAAAAGGCCAGCATAATTTTTAATTATTATTTTTTAACACTGGCCGGGTTCTTTATTACAAAATAATCAGAAAGCAAAAGCTAATTCTTTTCTTCCAAGATTATTATTAGGTACACTAGTATACTCTAACGTGGTATCATTTTAAATATTGCATTTCCCCACGTTCAGTCAGTATTGAATTCTAGCAAAACTGAGCTAAATTCATCATCTTATTAATCCACTAAAATCCTCTAAGATACGCAGGGACACAGTTCTGAACATTTCACTTACATTTTGATGGAAATATATTCTCAAGCCATAGATCTAATTTATAAAGTTTAAAATGAATGCCTCCTTTTAAATTAAGACAACCAGCAAGTATGTGACTCTTTGACATAATCACTTTGAAAGCTTGAAACTTTGCCCTTGCCTCAAATTACTTTTTCAGCTTGATCTCTTGCTTCTGTCATCTACTCAACAAATGCATATAGGGTACAAAGCACTGTGTTAGGCAATAGAGATTAAAAAAAAAAAAAAAAAGAACACAAGAACACAGCCCCTGTTTGCAGAGTGCACGGTCTGGTGGAGGCTGCAGAAGGATGACTGACCAGGCAGTGTTATGAGGGCTGTGTGAGACATGTCCTGTATACCCAGCATGGGGGCACACACAAAAGAGGCTGAAGCATCCGAGCCTCGCTGTCACCCTGTTTTTCCTCCAATACACCATGCACATGCTTGTCTCTGCACCTTTCATCAATAGCATCCTAATTCCATAATGTGTTTTTCATCATTCTATAATAACAGAAATATTTTCTATATTTAAAAGGCAATTTAAAATACAAAATTATCCAAGATTTCTCCTTTCACTCCAACCCATGCACATATGTAACTCCTAGAATAGGAATAAAGTTCCAAATCCTCTGTATGTACAGGGTATAGGTCATACCTACAAGAAATTTAGGAACCTTAGAGGTAAAATAAGAATAAAGTATCCCCTTTACTACATATTTATGGTAATTAAATATGGCTATATACATGAAAGAAAACATTGATCAAATTACAATATGCTATTTAAATATCTAGCTTTTTTTTTAGATATTTTAATGCTTTACAAATCCCTTTCTAATTTGATTGAAGTAACTGGAGGACTGGGACTGTGTCAGGTACTGTTTGTTTATTACATCACATTTTAAGACTTTGGTTTTGCATTTCTCTTCTACTTCTTCATTTCTACTACAGACACCTAGGAATTGATAACATACATTCTTATTTCTCCATCTTAAAAGAAACACAATTCACCTTGTTTCACTTATGTTAGCTATGACCATTTCCTCTATCTTCACCACATTATCTCCTGGAGAATTGGTCTACATTTAATAGATTTAATTATTTATTACTGATTCTGCTGATGATGTCCTTAAATATATTTTCATGCCCACAAATCCACATATCTACTTTTGCATATGTAGAGTAGCTATACTTCATAAGTAAAGTAACTATTTTCATAACCTCATTATCCTTTAAAAGTCTATGACATTTGACCCAGCTGAAATTTCCTTGAAAACTTGTGCTCCCCAACATTTACGAAACTTAGAAGTCTTGATTCTCCTCAAATGTGATTAAGTTAAATAACATGACTATTTATTATGCTGGTTAAACTTTCTTTGCCAGCTTTGCAAAGTTTCTTGTGTCTCTATACCTGCTTTGTACCTTGGGTTGTTTCCCTGCCATATTTTCATGCTTCATGTTACTTTCTTCATTTGAAAAACTAACTTACTCTCATGTAAAGAATACATTTATATGTATAAAACTAATAATTTATTCAAACATATTCAGTATAATATACAGATACATAAAATGGGAGAAGGGCTCATTCTTAAAGTAGAATGTTAACAAATAAATGTAGAAGAAATAATGTAACTAGAAAGATAGTTGTTAAAATCACTAGATGAAAGCTTAAAGAGCACAGAGATATTTATAACACTTCAAAATATTTCGCCACTAATTATTTATAAACTACAAAGAAGAAAGTACTAACTTCACAGGGGAGGAATCTGGCAGACATCAACTAAATCAAGTGATCAAAGTTAATATCACCAATAATGCGACATTCTGGCATCCCATGTTTCTTAATGCAATTCAGTGAGAGCACATTGCCAATTACGTAGTATTCCTGATGAACATGTGATATGTAAATCTAATCAGGTGAAAAAAATCAACAAACCCAAGCAGGAGATTTTACAAAACAACTATTCTATTTTTTTTTTGAAGACTTACATTTTTAGAGCAGTTTTTGATTCATAGCAAAATTGAGAGGGAGGAAGATACAGAGATACCAAGTATATTTTCTCCCCCAACACTTGTACAGTCTTTCCCATTATTAATCAGAGTGGTACATTTGTTAAAAGTGATGAATTTACGTTGACACATTAGTATCATCCAAAGTCCACGGTCTAGGTTAGAGTTCACTCTTGGTGTTGAATATTGAATGGGTGTGAACAAATATATAATTACATATCTGTCCAGTGTTGGACAATATCCATCATTATAGCATCATATGTAGTATTTTCACTGCCTTAGAAAATCTTCTGTGCTCTATTCATTCCTTCTCTACTCCCTAACGCTTGGCAACCACTGATGTTTTTACTCTCTCCATAGTTTTGCCTTTTGCCGAATGTCATATACTTAAAATCATACAACATGTAGTCTTTGCAGATTGGCTTCTTTCATTTAGTAATATGCATTTAAGTTTCTTCCATGTCCTATGTATAGCTCGATAGCTCATTTCTTTTTAGCACCAAATAATATTCTATTCTCTAGATGTACCTCAGTTTATTTATTCATTCACCTACTGATGGATATCTTGGCTGCTTCCATGTTTTGATAATTATGAATAAAGCTGGTTTAAGCATCTGTGCGTAGTGTTTTGTGTGAATATAAGTTTTCAGCTCTTTTGGGTAAATATCAAGGAGTGCAATTGCTGGATCATATGGTAAGAGTTATGTTTGGTTTTGTAAGAAACCACCAAAGTATCTTCCAAAGTAACCGTACTATTTTGCATTCCAACAAGCAATGGCTGGGAGATCCTGTTTCTCAAAATCCTAACCAGCTTTTTATGTTTTCAGTGTTCTGGACTTTGGCCATTCTAATATGTATATAGTGTTACCTCACTGTTGTTTTAATTTGTATTTCTCTGATAATGTATCCTGTTGAACATCTTTTCATATACTTATTTGCTATCTGTATATCTTCTGTGGTGAGGTGACTACTAACGTCTTTGGCCCACTGGTTAATTGGTTCGTTCATTTTCTTGTCATTGAGTTTTAAGATTTATTTGTAGAATTTGGATAGCAGTGTTTATCAGATAAGTTTTTCAAATATCTTCTCCAACCCTGTGGCTTGTGTTTGCATCCCGTTGATGTTCTGCACCTTTCAAAACATCAATATATAATATATGTAGAATAAAATAAAATAAAAACACAGAACAATAATATGAAATGCATAGTCTTGTATCAGCAAATTTAAAATTGCTGTCCATATATTATTTAAAAAATAATATATATTGATATTAAATGTCCTGAATTATAATTTGTATTGTATTCCTATGAAGAAAAACACACTGAATAAGTAACACAAGATGATGTCTACAATTTTGCAACAAAGGATACCAATAATGTAATGGGTATATGCTTATGCGTATTCATAGATAGAAAGCAGAAGCACACTGTGATGGTTAATCCTAAGTGTCAACTTGATTGGATTGAAGGATGCAAAGTATTGATTCTGGGTATGTGGTGAGGGTGTCGCCAAAGGAGATTAACATTTGAATCAGTGGGCTGGGAAAGGCACTGGGTGGGTACCATCTGGGTGGGTATCATCTAATCAACTGCCAGTGCGGCTAGAATATAAAGCAGGCAGAAAAACATGAAAAGACTAAACTGGCCTAGCCTCGCAGCCTACATTTTTATCCTATTCTGAATGCTTCCTGACCTTGAACATTACACTCTAAGTTCTTTAGTTTTAGGACTCGGACTGGCTTTCCTTGCTCCTCAGCTTGCAGATGGCCTATTAAGGGACTTTTGATTGTGTGAGTTAATACTTAATAAACTCCCCTTTATATATATATGAATATCTATACTATTAGCTCTGTCCCTCTTGAGAACCCTGCCTAATACACACATATTTCAAAATATTAACACATGGTGAATATAGATGTAAGATATACAAGTGTTTACTGACAATTCTTGCAACTTTTCTTGTTTGGATTTTAAGTGAATATATATAGCAGATATGAAAGCAGTAGTAAAATGATAATTAAGAATTTTGCTATAATAGTGCTTACATACTGAGACAAAACAGATAAAAATGTATAACAGCTTAATTACATATTATGGTATGTTCTATGAATTAAATAAATCACACAGTGTGGGAGAAGCCCTCTTTAGAACATGTGATCAGGAATTTCCTCTTCAGAGGTTCCATGAGAGTTGAGACAGAGTGTGCGTGGCCCAAGCCAGCAGAGGACTTGCAGAAGAGCATACTGTGCACAGGTGGCAGCCAATATAAAGGCCCTGAAGCTGCAAGAGGCTTAGAAGTTAGAAGAACACAAAGGGATCCAGTGCAACTGGACTTCCAACAGCCGGGGACCAACAGCTGAGATGTCTGTGTAGTCAACTTCCAACAGCCGGGGACCAACAGCTGAGATGTCTGTGTAGTCAAGAGCTAGAGGCAAGGATCTCTTAGGTCACCATAAAGAGGTTGAAATTTATTCTGAGAATAATGCTAAGCCACTGGAATATTTAAAAATAAAGAAGTTGCAGTACCTGATTTATATTCCAAAAATGACTCTGCTTTAAAAAGTGGGTGAATTTTGTAATTTAAATGAAAATTATGGGAGAGATGTAGTGGTAATGAAATCAGAAAGAATCCCCAATAAAATAAAAGAAATATGTGGAAACAGGTGTTGGTTTAATGATGATAATCCCAGGTGCAAGGAGAAAAGGCAAACATGGAGAACTTCCAGGGCAGAACTGAATATGGAGCTAATTATAGTTATACTTGTATGTGTGTGTGAATATATATATATGTGTGTGTGTATATATGTATATACATAAAATATACATGTGTAATATTTACACAAATACATAATTATAAAATATAACATAATCACTTTGTTATTTCCATATATATTTAGTAATCTTCAATTACTCATTATGAGTAATTTACATGATCATGAGTTCTGTTTTGGCAACAACAAGGAAGAACTTTCTTCCAGATATAGATTGAAGCAAGGCAGAGGCAAGGAGGTATGCAACAAGATAAAGGTGAGACAAAAAGTTCTAGAAAAGCAAAAACTTAGAGCAATGGGTTTCTTAAAGAAGTATATCTCTGGAATCATTCTGAAACTGGTGACAATTATTAAAATATTAAATCAATATCTGCTGTTTTGTTATTTTTTTTCTATTTATGAGATGTAAGTTTGGGATTATGCATTAGAGTAGAAATTAATTCTATAAAGCTAAAGAAATTGTGGCTGCATAGGTAACCTCCCAAAGATGGTACCAGCAGAAAAATAATGTTCCTGTAAACAGGTTCCCACTGTCTTCTGTCAAGAAGGAAGCAGAGGATGAAGGCAGGCAGAAGGAAAGAGGAAAGGAAACACAAGGCAGGGAAATAGCAGACATGGGCTTGGGCCATTGTTTCTCAAAGTATACTTTTCCAATTAGAGAGGGTAGACACTTAATCTCAAAGCCTAGCTTGGAGTTTATAAAATTATACTGCCATATGTTTATGACAAAAGGTAACCGGGCATTTTAATAACTAGGGGAGATCAGAAAAATCATAAAAGCTGCCATAAATTTGTATTTGAGGTACATGGAAAATAAAATGAATCTATAGATCTTTTAAGGGTGAAGTTGAGAAAATAGACTTGTGTTCTAATTAATCCAGAGACACCCTCTCCTTAACTTTAAAAGGTGTGTGTATCTACATCCGTGCTTATCAATTTCTATTATCTCAATAAATCCTACAATATTTAACTATTGACCAGACAGCTCATTTGACTTCCAAATATGGGTAATATCTATTTTTTGATTTCTCTTATTTTAAGTACCTTTCAGTTAATTCCAAATCAAAATTGTCTGCATTAATCACAACTGATTCATTGTCTTCAACTATAATAATGTCTATGCTTTTTCCTATCACTCCAGTTAAAAATATGTAACTTTTCATTTTTCCATCATTTTCATATTTCCATATATATATATGTTTCTACGTTTTAAATATCTTCTCTTTTTCTCCATATTTCAATCACCTAGCCTGTGCCTTAAAGGTTTACTTTTAACACTGCAGCACTAAGATTTTCAGTACTAAGATGGTGGCTGTTTGTGTGCAGACAAACCACCATCCGATTTTGGATGCTCTCTTCTTACCAACAAATGTTACGTGCAGAGTAAATCATATTTGTTGATTGAAGTAATTAGTTTTCCTGCCATTTGAAAATCAACAGGAAATAGGTAAATTGGTCTTTTCATGGATACTATGTAAGGATAATGCAAAAATTAATTTAAGTCATCTAAGCCAGTCTTAGAATATTTAAACAACCTTGGATAGTATGTACTGCAACAATTTGGTTTACAGATGAGAATAAGACCCAGGTCTGCTAAGTCAAATTACACAGATGACACAAGTAGAAACTTGTGGTCTCTGTTACTGTTCTCCTTGACTACACCATACCGTCCAAACAAAACAGTATTTTAATTTCTTTAACAACATATTCATCTATATATCTTATTTAAAGACACAGGAAAATATACCCATATATAAAAACACATGATTCAAACAAACCAGTCCATAACCATGGATTCAAACAAGTGTAGGAGGTGGGCCTCTGTCTCTCTCATACTGAATATATGACCATTTATGTCTGGCTTGAAGGTACTATGAAACAGGTATCTAGCTTGTTGCCCATCTAAATAATTGGAAGAATGAAATAATATACCTTAAATCAGGGATATGAAAATTATCGACATATCAAATCCACCCTGCTACCCATATTACACACACACACACGCAAAAAATATATATTTTTATATATGTATATATGTATAAAAATATATGTAGTAGAATAGCTTTATATTTGCAGAGAAAATACAAGGACTCTACAGCCAGTTCCCATATTATCTACATCTACTCTCACTATTATTAACATCTTACATTAGTATGATAAATTTGTCACAACCCATTAAACAATATAAAGACATTATTAAGAAATGATTGTACTTTATTCAGATTTTCTTAGTTCTTATCCAATTCCTTTCTGCTTCAGAATTTCACTCAATCATGACATTGGATTTAGTGGTCATGTCTCCTTAGGCTCTACGTCACCGTGACATTTTCTCTGAATTTCTTTGTTTTTAGTAACTATGACAGTTTTGAGGAATACCAGCAAGAAATTTTGCACCTCAATTGCAATTTGTTCAATGTTTTTCTCATTATTAGACTGGTGTCATCAGTTTTTGGAAGAAAGACCACAAAATAAATTGCCATGTTCATCATATCAAGTGTTTTTATGTTGATGTGAACCTAGATCTACTTACTTGAGTTAATGTTTGTTAGGTTTCTCCACTGTAAAGTTACTCTTCTCCTACCACTCTCACTTTTCATATTGTACTCTTTGGAAGGAGGTCACTATGCTCAGCTTACACTTAAGGAGTGTGGAGTTATATTCTACCTCCTTAAAGGCGAGATACCCAGATACATTATTTAGAAATTTTCTGCATAGGAGATTTGTCTATTCTGCAGCATTTATAACTATAAACTCGTGGATATTTATTTTATATTTTGGATTATAATCCAATACTAGCCTATTTATCTTATTTTTCAAATTATTTCAGCTTTAGCCATTGGGAGCACTTTCAGTTGGCCCCCAGGACCATTTGGCATAATCGCTTATTTTTGTTGTTGTTTTGTTTTTGAGCAATTTTTTACTTTCTGAATGACAAAATGTTCCAGGCTTATCTTGTATACTTACTGCACCAGTCCTACAATGATTCTCTAAAAAGAACTTCTTCCTATTTTTGGAGAATGACATTAGAAACCAAAATCTGAGTATTATAGGTACTTACTGTTTCTGGGGCTCATTGCGTCTAAGTCTTCTTAGCTGATAAGCAAGGAAATATACATGTATATTAACCTGATTATATTCACAAATATGGAAATATATTTATATTTATAAGTAATCATATTTATAAAGATGATATGACATAATATTTGTGTCTATAACTTGAATCAGTTACCACATGGAACATTCCAGCCTCTTTCCTTTTGTTACCTACAACCTCTCACTCCCAAAATTGAAAACCTGGCTCCACTCTTCAACTATTCATTTACTCAGTGTTCAGTTCCCATACACATATATAAAGGCATTAGTGTTGTTAACCTGTATCCCCATTGGAAATAAATATGTCAACTACGGTACAATGTTTATGCATAGTTTTTTTCTGTCCTTATGGACATCAATGATTTCAAAAGTAACTTAGGTCAGCACCTTTTTCTCTCTTTTTAGAGAGGCTATTTTGTATAATTATAGTTAAATTATTTAGTCACATTTTGCATTGCATTCAGTTATCTCTTGACCTCCCAAATTATTTTTTAATTGCATATTGTATGAGATCATTCCTGCATTGCTATAAAGAAATATCTGAGAGTGGGTAATTGATAAAGAAAAGAAGTTTATTTGGCTCACAGTTCCACCAGCTTTATAGGAAGCATGGTGCTGGCATCTGCTAGTCTTCCAGGGAGGCCTCAGGAAGCTTACAATCATAGTAGAAGGTGAAGGGGGAGCAGGCATGTCACATGGTGAAAGTAGGAGCAAGTGGGATAGAATGAGGAAGGAGGTGCCATACACTCTTAAATGATCAGATCTCACAAGAACTAACTATCAAAAAGATAGCATCAATTAATAAGGGATCTTCCCTTATGATTTAAACACCTCCCACCAGTGCCCACTTCCAGCATTGGAGGTTACAATTAAACATGAGATTTGCATGGGGACAAATATCAAAACTATATCACATATATTAGGGCGTACTCCTTGTGCTGTTAAGTTCTATGAGTTTCACAAACTGCATAGTGTCATGTATCCACAAGTACACAGTATAATACAGAATAGTTTTGATATGTGCTAAAAAATCTTTGATGATACAGCTATTCAATTCCCTCCTTCCTTTCTTTTTTACTATAGTTTTACCTTCTGCAGAATGGCATATAATTGGGAATATCCAGCCTGTAGCTGTTTTCATAATGGTTTCTTTCACTTAGTAATATGAATTCACAGTTTGTCTATGTTTTTTGATGGCTTGATACCTCACTTCTTTTTAATGATGAATAATATTCCACTATGTGGCTGTATTACAAATTGTTTATCCATTCATCTATTAATAAGATCTTGGTTGCCCTCAATTTTCGGCAATCGTGAATGAAGTTTCTGTAAACATTCACATGCAGATGAAAGTAAGTTTTCAAATCAATTCAGCATATATGTTAAAACATGATTACTGCACCATATAGTAAAAGTACATTTAGTTTTGTAAGAATCTGACAAACTGTCTTCCAAAGTGGCTGCACCATTTGAAATGAGTGAGTTTTCATAACCAAAATTTGGTATTGCTTTTTTTTATTTTCATTTTTGCTATTCTAATAGTTGTGCAGTTTTACCTTATTGCCATTTTTGTCTGTTTTTTGAAATAAGGTTTTTTTGGAACACAGTCACACCATACTATTGTCTGTTACTGCTTTCACGCTACAATGGCAGAATTGAGTGGTTGTGATAGAGTTGCATATGACCCACAAAGACTAAAATATTTACCATCTGACCCTTTAAATAAAAAGTTTGCCAAATATCACATAAACTAAAGGAGACAATGCACTGAAATTTAATTAGTAAACTGCTAAAATTATTACTTTTATTTTAATTACACATTCCAATAATTTCCAATTAAAATTATATAATTACAAATTTTAAGTAAAATTATAAACAGCTATAATGAATTCCTGCAAACTTTCACAGAGAAAATTTTGCAGATGAAATAAAACCTTGCCTTTTTGCCTTTATATACATATATATACACTTATATATATACACTTATATATACACTTATATATATATACACTTATATATACACTTACATATATACTTATATATATACACTTACATATATACTTATATATACACTTACATATATACTTATATATACACTTACATATATACTTATATATATATATATATACACTTACATATATACTTATATATATACACTTATATATACTTATATATATACACTTATATATATACTTATATATATACACTTATATATATACTTATATATATACACTTATATATATACTTATATATATACACTTATATATATACTTATATATATACACTTATATATATAAGTATATATATACACTTACATATATACTTATATATATACACTTACATATATACTTATATATATACACTTATATATATACTTATATATATACACTTATATATACTTATATATATACACTTATATATACACATATATACTTATATATATACACTTACATATATACTTATATATATACACATATATGTATACTTGAAAAATAGAAAAGTAAGTTAATGTAAAGATTAGAGAGAAATGTAGTTAAAAATAGATAATGGAGGAACTAATATATGTTACTTGTACTGATAGCATGTGACAATAATTTTGTATAATAACTCCTTTTATTTTTACAAGTAATTCCAATGATAGTATTATGCTATACTGATATGGGCAAAATTAAGAGTTACAAATTTGTCCAAGTGCATAGAACTAATAAATGGGTTTAAACCCATTTAACAACAAAATTTTGTCTTCATATTTTCAGCGCTGTTCATTTCAAAAATATCACAATATGAAAAAAAATCTTATCATCTAAGACCATCTTATTCAATAATTAGCTGAGTCATCTCCTGACAGGTGTTAATAATAATAGCAGCCTATCAAAGGGACTGGACATCCTATTAAAATTTTTAATGAGTCTAGGGAATGTTACACTTCTGTAGACTTTATCAAAGTCTGTAGAATTTATCAACACTGTAACATGAAAGTTTTGATTTGTGATCCTATAGGAACCCTATATCTGATGCATTTTCTATCAAAATATTGCCAAACTAGATGAAGTAAAATGAATCAAAATGCTATCATCATAAGCAGAGAATAGAATGATTACTTTTTACAAAAATGATGTGCTCATATACAAATTTAAGTAACGTATATTGGCCAAAGAGTTCTAGAGCATACATAAAAAGGCCCCTTTCTAGTACCTGAGAACTGTGAGATTTAAATTTAGCAAAGACTGAAGAAAGTCTGGATTTAAAAATCATCATGAAAACAGCTCTTAAATTTTCATATAATAACTATGTCCACCAATGTTCGTCAAGATTTAAAGAACTGCAAATATTTAAGTGCTTATATTTTCACACTTGTCATTTAAGATGCATATTAAAATTGGGTATAATAAGTCAGAAATATGGACAGTAGAAATCTTTTCTTACAGAAGATAAGCTTAACTCAGCCTGCCACCAACATACCATCTGTTCTGCATCTCTTCTTAGATCAAGACACAATAGACTGAAGCATATGGACTGTAGGCTGTGAACAAGAAAGAATTTTTAGCATGTTAGCATTCTTTTTTGGATTTCTGTTTTGTTTTGCTTTAGATTGTTGTGTTTTGTTTTGTTTTTCAACATTCTATGTTTTTATTCTTCAGGGGTAATTTAAATAGCATCCTGATTGAAGGGTAAATGGAACTGCATGCCTTTTAAAAGATATTTTGTTTTCCTAATGTGATATTACATGACAAACAATGGAAAGGCTAAAAATTTCAATAACAATTTTTCCTTTCCCCAAGGCTTCAGAGTTAAGTTTAATATGTCAACAACCACTGCTACTGGAAGAGAAATTTGTCTTTATTTTATTGTATTCCTTTAACTATTCCCCTTGCCACCTGATAGTTCATAGATCTAAGTGCATTAATGATCCCTCATCTGCATGCAATATATGCAATATATTTTATTGCATGCAATAAAATAGTAACAATGAAGATAATATCTAACATTCTGTATTTACTATGAAGTAATAATGAAGATAATATCTAACATGTTATTAGCATGTTACATATTGCTCTACATCTCTTACATTATTAATTTTAGTAAGAATAGCTATGTTAAGCATTCATATTTTGAGACCCATTTTATAAATGATGAAAGTGAAGAACAAAATTCAATAACTCTTAGGGCATGATAACTGAAAGATACCCTAAAGTACTGCAAGAAAATATATGAATCTCACATCAACACAGTGTAAGATAAAAATGAAACTTTAGGCCAATTTGAATAATGAAAATTTGAACCTCAATATCAAGTGATGCATAAGGTATTAAATATTATTATCATTTTTTAAATTGTATTCCAATTTGAAAGCACGAATGCCATTATGCTTGACTGGATTTTTAAATATTGCACCTTCTTTTTATCCCTGATTGAGAGAGGCATGTGTATCTAAATGAAGCAACTTACCTTATAGATCTCTATAAAAAGAAAGACCAAGCTGATAGTCATCACTGCACTGTTTTCATCTGTCCAGTCAAACAAATCAGCATTTAGATTACTGAATTGTTCCTTTCTCATCACTTTTTACCACCATCAGACACAAATAACTGCTTCTGAAGTGTTCTTGTCAGTGTTCCCTATCATTTCGGATGTAAATCTAGCCATGACACTTCCTTGTTACTAGTTTTCACGCCTGCTTATCTGAACAGCTTTCACAAAGCTGGTTCTAGCTATCAGTCAAATAAGACAAGGGAAAGACAAATTTCTGGCGAGCCAGGACAGAAGAAGAGAGAGAGTGAAAACAGTGACAAAGACATGCACCATTCAAATTCAAAGGATGTGGACAGCTCTCTTGTTTGGAACATCAATTTCTGTCTGTCAGATTTTAAACAGAGTTGCTGGCTAAAACATCTAGATACAGGAAGACAGCTATAGGACAAAACAGAAAATAGTGCTAAAGTCTGTGAAAATTTATATCAACATAAAGAATTTGAAAACCAAAAAATGCTTTAAAAGCCTCTAGATACTGAAAGAATGTACATAGAGTTCAACTTTTTCACTTTTTTAAATTGTGCTACTAGGAAAAAATTGCTTAATATCTGTTCCTTGGTTTCAGCCTCTGAAATATGAGAATGGTAATCATATATGCCACATAAAATTTGCCGTGTAGACTTAATTAGTCAGTGCAAGCAGAATACTTAAAATGGTCTTATGTATAGTAAGGGGTCAATCAATGCCACTTTCATTAGAAACTGTTTTAGTAGAAATTGGGTCTTGCTATGTTATTTAGTTACTCCTGGCCTCAAACCATCCCCCCTCCTCAGTCTCCCAAAGTAATGGATTACAGGCATGAGCCACTGCACCTGGCTAAAAACATTATTATTAAGTTTAATGTAATACTATTTTCAAAAGTAATGATATTGAGTCATAAAAAGTGATAAAAAGTCAATAGTGTTGGAAAAAAGTCTGGTGTTTAAATTCAAAAGTTTTAATCTTTATAAAATTTTTAAAATTTATTATAAATTTTACTTAGATTTTGCATTAGCATGAATTAAGTATTTCATTTAGGCCAGAATTTGAATGAATTACAACTGAAATTTTTAAATTGAATTTTGAGTGAAAAATTGTAGTGATATTACCACCAATTCAGTTGATTAAAAGACTTAACAAAAAAAAAAAGATTATTCAAAAAATTACTTATGTTTTAGGAACAGAAAAAGTTTTACTCTTAAAGGATTTAAATGTGAAACCTCTCTGTTGGTATGATTTAAAATAACTAAAGACAATTTGGGTATCCAAAATACCTCTTCTTGCATCTACAATAGTTTTTTAATATTCTTGCATATTCTGTTTATTTTAGTTTTTACAATAAAAGCCTACATTAACATAATTTCAAATAATTAATAAGTGATTAACAGATATTAGTATGCTAGATATTAGTATGCTAATTAAATGTTATTTAAGGTAAAGGGTAAGAGTTTCTTTGCAAAGTATTACATGAGTAGAACTGAGATTTTTAAAGGTCTTTTTCTAATTATTAAAACACACGAAATGTTAATAAAATTTAAAAATTAAATTAAAGTAGAAAAAGAAAAGTAAATCCAGATTATTTTCAGATTTCAGAACAAATGCTAATATCCTTAGTATCCAGTTTGACATTACACCTAGTGAATATTAACCTTCAAATAAATATCAATTTTATCGACAACAATGTACCATTTTGAAAAATTATTTTATATCTAAGATATAGACAGAGAATACTAAATTCTGTGAGACTAAGGAGAAACCAGCAAGTTCATGCTCACCTGATGAGAGAGGATATTGAAATAGACCTTCTGTAAATTGATTTGGCAAAAATTATTACAAATCTTAGCAATAATGTTGAACTAGATATTCTTCACTTATTAACACATGCTAAAAATAATTATACACATGAAAAAAGATATATGCCAAGTAAAATATAGTGGAATGTGATGTACAGTAACAAAGTTCAATTTTTTTTTCATTTAAATTTTAATTTTAGATTCAGAGGGTACGTGTGTGTTTGCTGGAAGAGTATGTTGTGTGACGCTGAGGTCTGGCATACGATGGAACCTATCATCCAGTTATTGAGCATAGTACCCAATAGTTAGTTTTACAACCCTTGCTCTCCCTCCTTCTTCCCCACTTCATAGTTCCCAATATTTATTGTTCATATCTTTATGTCCATGTGTACCCATTTTTGTTTTTATTTTATAATTTCAACTTTTATTATAGATTAAAGGGTATATGTGAAGGTTTGTTACATGGGTATATTGAGTGCATTGAGTTTGGGGGTACAAATAACCTCATCACTCAGGTAGTGAGTGTAATACCCAATAAGTGGTTTTTCAGCCTATGCCCCTCTCCTTCTCTCCTGCATCTAGTTCCCAGTGTCCCGCTTTACCCACTTTATTTTTATGTGTACTCAATCATTAGCTCCATTTATAATTGATAACATGCAGTCTTTGGTTTTCTGTACTTGTGTTAATCTGCTTAGGGCAATGACCTCCAGTTCCATCCATGTTGCTGTAAAGAACATAATTTTGTTCTTTCTATGGCTGTGTAGTATTCCATGGTGTAGATGTACTACATTTTCTGTATCCAATCCACCATTGATGGGCACTTAATGTTGATTCCATGTCTTTGCTATGGTGAATAATGCTTTGATGAACATGTAAGTGCATGTTTCTTTTGGTAGAATGATTTATATTACTACAGGTATATACCCTCTAACGAGATTACTGTTAGTTCTATGTTTACTTATTTGAGAAATCTCCAAACTGCTTTCTAAAGGAGCTGAAGTATTTTGCATTCCAACAAAATGTGTATAAGTGTTCCCTATTCCCTGCAGCCTGGCCAGCACCTGCTATTTTTGACTTTTTATTAATAGTCATTCTGACTGGTGTGAGATTGTATCAGTGGTTTTGATTTATATCTTTCTGACATCAGGGATGTTGAGCAATTTTTATGTATTTGTTGGTCATTTCTATGTCTTCTTAAAGAAATGTCTATTCATAGCCTTTGCCCATTTTTAATAGGGTTATTTGTGTGTTTATTTTTGGTGTTTATTTGTTTAGTTCCTTGTAGATTCTGGGTATTACACCTTTACCAGATGCATAGTTTATGACTATTTTCTCCTATTCTGTAGGTTGTCTGTTTACCCTGTCAGTAATTGCTCTTGCTGTGCAGAAGCTCTTTAGTTTTATTAGGTCCCACTTGTCAACTTTTGTTTCTGTTACAATTACTTTTGGGGACTTATTCACAAATTATTTGCCAAAGCAAATATCAAGAAGCTTTTCTTCTAGGATTTTTATAGTTTGAGGTCTTATATTTAAGTATTTAATCCCTATTGCATTGATTTTTATATGTGGTGAGAGGTAGGGGTCCAGTTCTTTTGATATAGCTAGCCAGCTATCCCTGCATCATTTATTGAATAGGATGTTCTTTCCTCATTGCAAAATCCTGTCAATTTTGTAAAAGATCAGACGGTTGTAGGTGTGTACGTTTATTTCTGGGCTCTCTATTCTATTTCATTGGTCAGTATGTCTATTTTTTTATAGTTCCCACTTATAAGTGAGACTATACAGTATTTGGTTTTCTGTTTCTATATTAATTCTCTTAGTACAACGTCATCTAACTGCATCCATGTTGCTGCAAATAAAATTATTTCATTCTTTTTATAGCTGTGTAGTATTCCATGTTGTATATGTACCACAATTTCTTTATCTGATCTACTGTTGATAGGTACCTAGGTTGATTCTGCCTTTTTGCTACTGAGAATAGCGCTAAGTAAGATGGATGTATTAGTGCATGTGTCTTTTCAATAGAATGATTTATTCTCCGTTGGGTATATACCAAGTAATTGAACTGGTGAGTCAAATAGTGGTACTATTTTTAGTTCCTTGAGAAATCTCCAAACTGGTTTCTACAGTGGCTGAACTATTTTGAATTCCCACCAATAGTGTATAAGTGTTCCTCTTTCTCTGCAGCCTCACCTACTGTTGTTTTTACTTTTAATAATAGCCATTCTGGTTGGTGTGAGAAGATATCTCATCATTATGTTTTAAAACTGAAAAGAGTCTTTGAAAATATATTAGTTTTGTTGAATATTAGGAAACTCAGAAAGTAATAAAAGAGAAAATACAAGCTGCCAAAACTTTTGTTTGTAGAGACAAATATTTTGATGCATTTTCAATTCTTTTATTTTCTATTACTAACACATTTGGGGAGGAAGTGGTCTGGCTCAATTGTTGTGATTTCCAACTTCAGGGCCTGATATGGCTAAGTTTTGCCATTTAATAGCTCTGTCATTCATGTTGTGGAATTAGTTTAATCCCTGAAATACTAATCAAAACTAAATTCTGTTAGTACCCATATCAAAGGACTCATTGAGGATTAAATCTGATAACTCAAAGAAAGGCTTAGAACACATCTGATTTATGATCCTTTGCCAGACATTGGTGTAATAGCTTTAACATTCAAACATGTTTTTCCCTTTTGCCTTTCAAAGAGGAGAAGCATTATCTAATCAAAATATGACTTTCTTCTACCTGAAGGAGTGTTAGGATTTATTTATTCAGAATGTAGAAGCAAAAGAGAGAGTTTATATCAGGCTTTTGACATCCAAAATAGGACATGGCATGGAGTTCATAAAAGGCAAAGCTTTGCCAAGAGGTAAGATTTATTCGATACCTTTTTTTCCTCTTTTATGACATCAAAAATTAGTCCTTAATTCTTACTCGTAGAATTTTATGTAAATGAATATATAATATATTATGTTAATAAAAGATAATTTTTGACCCTTCCTATACGGATTGTGGAAGAGAAGCATGTTGAAGGCAAATAACATAGCCTCTACTTTCAGTGTAAAATGCTGGGAAGATGTGACTTGCCACATGCCTGCTGAAATCCTAGGGATAAAAGTACAATGTGCTTCAGGGTCACCGCTCATCTCCAAGAACCACTAGGAATAAACCACTGCCCAGAAATAAAGAATGAGGTTCTGGAAAGCATTGCATGACCCAGACACCCTGTTCCCTCCATTCCCACATGTGATAAAAGACATACAGTGGGCTGGGCACTGTGGGTCATGCCTGTAATCCCAGCACTTTGGGAGGCCGAGGAGAGCTGATCACTTGAGGTCAGGAGTTCGAGATCAGCTTGACCAAAATGACGAAATCCCGTCTCTACTAAACTTACAAAAATTAGCTAGGTGTGGTGGCACACACCTGTAATCTCAGCTACTTGGGAGGCTGAGGCACCACAATCACTTAAACCAGGGAGGCAGAAGTTGTCGTGAGCCGAGATTGGGTCACAGTCACCACACTCCAGCCTGGGTGACAGAGGGCGACTATACTTCAAAAAAAAAAAAAAAAAAAAAAAAAAAAGACATAATGATGTCTTCCTTTACTCCTATATCCATACTCCATCATAATGAAGACCAGTAGATAGAATGGAATCTGAAGGAATGAGCATGTTATTTACAGACTATTCAAATTTCGGGAGAGTAGAAAATACGTTTATCTGTTCAATTACCCAGAGGGTAAGACTTACACGAGGAGGATGAGAAGGAATTTAGGATATTCAGAATGAACCTGAGTATATTATGATTAATTTGCAATCCTGCCACAGGAGTTACTACTAATTATTATTATAGTTAATATTTGTGTCTGTAGTATTTTTCCTTTTTGTTTGATTCTATGTCTAAATCTTAATTCTCCCCTCGATTTAGGACTTTTTGTTAGGTGTCTCAATGATATGAATAAATATAATCAGTTTATCCAATATTTAAATACTGAACTTTTAGATTATTTTCATTATGTTTTTCTGTTAAAAATAAAACTTCAGCTGATATTTTGCAGTTTATTTATGGATGAGATTATTTTCTTAGTGGACAGCCTAAAAATAACTTGGTTTAGAACCTATTAATATTTTTTAAACCTTTGAAGCACATTAGCAAGTTATTTTTTTCAGAATGTTTCAAATGACATTCTAATCATACTGTTGCAAGCAACAATTAAGTTTGATAAAAAGGAAGGTCATCAGAAATATCCGTAACTGATAACGAAGCCCTATTAAACAAATAATTATAAAAATTTCCATATTAAAGTTTCTCAAACATTTAAAACATTATAATATGGATATTAGGAATTACAGAGATGAAAGTGGGTAAACAGTTACTATAAGAAATTTCCCATGTAATTTCACAAGCTTTTTTATGTCTGGGACTCTGTTATATTAGTATTAACCACAAATCCAAGACTGAATTTGTCTGTCACCTTGTATTATATGCATTCCTTTTCATTCTTTTGCATCTAGATCCTCCTGTGAAAAAATCTCAGTATTAGAGTATAAATGATCATGTGTTTTAAAATCAAAATTATGAATTCAGAGAAAAGTACGCAAATACAAATGAATATACATTTTTCACATCTTTAGAAAGGACAACTCTACATGGATTTTACATCCTCCAAAATCTAGTCCCACATTTTTTTCTAGTCTCACTTTTTTGCTTTTATTATTGACAAATAATAATTATATATATTTATAGGATACAATGTGATGTTTTGACATATGTATACATTGAGTAGTGATTATATCAAGCTGGTCAACATATCTCTCACCTCACCACTTATTCTCTTGTAGAGAGAACGTTTAAAAATCTAATCTTTCAGCAATTTTGAAACATATAATACATTATTATTAACTCTTGACACCATGCTATGCAATAGATCTTGAGCTCTTAGAACTGCTTAACTCACACTCTACTTCAGCCCAGAGTGATCTGTACTCAGTCATTCTCATTCATTTGTTATGCAAACTGAGTCCCCTGCTAGGTTCAGACACAGAGGACCACTTAAATTCTATAGTTTTCATAAAATATTCTGTTAATACAGTTAAAAACTATTTTATCTTAAATGAATTTACCAGTAAAATTTAATATTTTTAAAATTATTTTTTAAAATCTCAAGAGAAATGCAAAATTATTAAACATTGAGTCCCTACTTGTTTGTTTTCCTCTGTCTCTTTCTCTTTCATTCTTTTCATCCGTTTGCATATATGATTTTGACATTGTTCAGAATGTATCAATTTGAACAGTACCAGTTAAGATAATGTCTTTTGTGTGACATACAGCCCTCCTATTGCTGTTTAAGAAGTGCAAATTACTACACACAGGAGATTAAGTTTTCAGGAGCATGACTGAATTTATTTTGATTGTCTTATACATCTTAATATATTTTCCCTCTGCAATTTGTGTGTGTGTGTGTGTGTGTGTGTGTGTGTGTGTTTAAAGCTTCATAGCCAGTTAAAATAATTATTAATCTCATGGTTTTGTTTTATTCAAGCTATTTGTTTTATGATAGAGTAAAATACCTATTGGCTTGTCAAAGTACAAAAGGAGATGTTTTGCCTAGGGCATTGTGTTTTCTAGTAGAAATAATATACCAAAAATGTAGATGCTTTATTTCTGAGTTGGTGATGAGCAGCAGAATATGAGATAATGCTTTTTAGTTTTAGTGAAGAGTGAATTTTATTTACTGAATCTGACGTTAAACCAAAATGGTATGTTTAATATGGTCATTCTTTTGCAAAATTGTAATAACTCTGGAGCCAGTTATAATTGTTACACTGTTTGTTTGACATAAAAATAAAACTTAAAGTAAAAAAGGAACAAAGACTACAAATCAAAGTAAAAATAGCTTAAAATGTTCCTGTGAATATAATCTGACATTCCTCATAGTGAAACCATTTCCCTCATTGTTTAATAACATGAATTCTTTCTATTGGACTTTCAGTACCTTTTTCCATTCTGTGGTAGGAAAGGATTTTGACATCAAAGATCAGACCTCTTCATAAACATTTATGTGAATCAAACAAGGAAAAGAGAGGTTATTACAAAGACAAAAGATGATCTCAGAGAGCTCAAGGGTTTTGAATGGCCAGGCGATGCCTAAGGAGAAAAAGTGAAGAGTAAAAATGAATTTATTAAGATTGCGGTCAGGGTACGATACCTGCAAGATAATCAGAGTTTTATGCTGTCAGACTCCTCAATCCCTCATATCATCTTCTGTATAGTATTCTCCAAAAAGAGAGTCTCCTTTAAAGTCCCATGACTAATTTTTGCTAAATTTAAGAAGAAGAGGGAGTGAAATAGGGGGAAAATGTGCTTCCATACATGATAAATCCAAATCGTTATCAATAAACATTTAAGCATAGCTATGTGCAAGACATTGTTCCGTAGTTACCCATATTAAAATGATAAGTGAGACATGATTCTTGTCTTCAAAGAACTGATAAAGTTATAAATGGTATTGCAATGTAATGTTAAGTCAGCTAAAATGGCTACAGGAGAAAGAAGAATTACAACTCTGAGGATAGGAATCCCTTGTATATTAAATGACTTTTGAGATAGTATTTAAAGGAAGGGAAGGTAACCAAAAGATCTAGAGATAGGTGAGTTGGCGTAACAGTTGGGGAAAGATAAATCGAGCACTAGTGTGGAGTAATGAAAGCTGTATAATCATACACTGGTAATTCCGTGTGGCTGAATGGAATGCTTATATTATTACTAGGTTTGTGTGACATGAAATTCTAAGATGTTGTATATAGTGAGAGGCAGGACATTGTTACTAATTGAGCCTTATTGTTTCTCCTCTGGTTTTCTAATTTTCCAATTTGAGGGTTCAGATCTATCGTAAAGATTAATATCTTACCCTCTAAATTGGGTAGCTGGATATTCCCAGCACATTAAACAAACCACACTTTTCACAAAGGTTCAAAACATGTTGGAGCAAGAATATTTTAAATGTGAGCCTAGAGTGTAATTTGTTGATACTTGAATATTAATTTCACTCATACATAAATGGAGATGTCTCAAATCAATTTGTAATCTTGTAAGATTTTAATTTTTAAATTTTGTTTGGTATTGCAAAACACTTGAGATTCAGAATTTACCAGGCTTTCTAATCATTGCGAGAAGCACACACTCACAGTGGAAAGAAGAAAAAAGACAAATCAGAAATCTTTATCACATTTTGTATTTTTAAGGAGCTACAAAAATAACACGTAATAGCAGAATTTTTAACTTAAGTAACAAATACTGACTTCCCTTAAGTAATAAATATTGACTCCTTATAGTTGTAACATAAGTGCAAAATTATGGGAATTAATATATTATTTAATAATATTCTTACTAAAAGCCACTG
This sequence comes from Homo sapiens, assembly GCF_000001405.40. Taxonomy (NCBI): domain Eukaryota; kingdom Metazoa; phylum Chordata; class Mammalia; order Primates; family Hominidae; genus Homo; species Homo sapiens. The sequence goes on along the minus strand of NC_000013.11, from coordinate 84,228,353 downwards.
GAAGTTCATCTCCCAACACTTAGATGTATTAATTATATTTTACTGAGTTCTAAGAAAAGTCTTTCCATTCAGAAAGATCTTAAATCCAATCTCTCTGAGCTTCATATTATTGCATTTAAATAGAAGTAAAAATGTTTACCACATGTCCCATGGTAAAACTTACAACAAAATAGCACTTTTCGGGCACATAAGAAGAACTCTACAAATGGGTAAAATTGTTAAGGTATAAAGCTTTACGGCAAATCCTATTATTTGATGCTTAACTAACTTGTTTAACAAGAGATAGAGAAAATCAACATTTCTTATGCACCAGTCTAGATTAACCTTCATTCGTTCATCAGGATCAATCAGCCCGCTGGACAAGACTCACTGTTCCACTTTTGTTAACTTTCATTTCTTGGTCCTACAGAACATATAAGGATGTGTAATAAGAGTCTGTCTTACTCTTAAGTTTAATAATAAATATATCTTTCTCTGCAGGACCTTTACTTCCAAAGAATTGGTCATAAATACTTATGTGTGTGGAGTTCACCAAACAAGGTGGGAACATTCATAGACCCAAGTCTTTATTTACTCGTCTTTCAGGCTAAAATACCACCATCACCACCTCATTCTCCATCTCACAAAATTCTTCCAGCCCCTGAATAAATGTTACTTTCTTCAAAAATGTTTCTTGTGCACTTAAACCTAAATTACTCACATCTCAAATGGGTCAAAATCTTATAATAACAGCAGTGTACCAGAGTGCCAAATAAAGTGGAAATGAAGTATTTTTCTTTGGTAATAAGAGAAGCATTAATTCAAAAGTTTATAGGCATGTGTCTAAAATACTGATTCTTAACCCGGGGCAATTTTGACTTCTAGGGGACAGTTGGCAATGTCTAAAGACATGTTGATTGTCACCTTGATTGGGGAAGAGGGTGCTACTGATATCTAGAGGGTGAAGGCCAGAGATATTGTTAAATATCCAATTCACAGTACAGTCTCCCACAACAAACTCTTATCTTGTCCAAATATCAATAATGCCAAGGCTGAAAAACTCTGCTCTGGATCAGGGTTCCACTCTTTTCCCTTTCTCACTACTAAAGACTGGGCCTAAAAGTGGTCTATTGGAACAACTATAGCTCTCTATCATCACAACTGATCCCAGGACATCAAAAGAATGTGCAAGACCCCTGTTCTCACAGTCAGAGTGAAGCAGCCCGCAGCAGAGAATAGGTTCTGTTGCTGAACTGAGGAGTGTTTTCTACTGTCCTTTTCTGAGGCTGTTGAAGTCGGGAAGCTTACAGGGACTTAGGTATATTATGGGATAGAATATTATGATTTATGCCCAAGTCCCTGAGATTAAAGACCACAGCAATATATAGCTGCAATTCTAAAACTTAAAAAACAGTATTTGGTTTCATTTTGGTGACTAAGTAATGAAGCAGGACATCCATAATCAATGGATTACAAGAATAACCACTTCTGAGTAGATACCATGTGTCAGAAATTTTACATACACCATTTAATCCTCACAAATCTCTGTGAGGCAGGCACTATTATCTGCATTTCACAATACTATGCTTATCTTCATAGTATACTTACTTTCCCCCATTTTTTATTCCTATATAAATTAGTAGGTAACTGTTTCTAGAAAAAAAATGTTATTTATGTTGAAACTCTTGTGCTTTACAGAGCGGTTTGCTAATAGTAATACTTGTAAACAGGATGGTGATGATGATGAGAACAAACCTTGCTCTGTGCTTTTCCATGTTCAAAGTGCATTGAATTCCCTTTGCAATATTATTTCTTATTTCAGGTGCCTCAACTCTGTAATATTAACTCTATTTAGCTTTCCCACAACCATATGGGATAAATATTTTCAGATCAGAATAATAACACACACACACACACACACACACACACACACACACACACACAACTTAAAAAAATTAGTAAGCTTTCTCAGTTTCTACATGGTGGGGTTTGGTAAGCAGCCTGAGTATGAAGCTTCTGATCTGAATCGCTCTGCAGTAGCTCAATCGCTTGTAGATTAAATGAACTGAATCTACACTTGTAGATTAAATGAACTGAATCTACACTTGTAGATTAAATGAGTCATATACTCTACCACTTGGAGAAATTTCAAACAAAAAATGTATGGAGCATGCAGTGTGATGCAGACATGCCTTGGACGCTGGCCAGAAAGGTCTCCCCTGTAAACCTTAACTTAATCCTTTAACCTCAATCCATATATGTTATCAGGCTAAGCAGACTAATTTGTAAACATAAAGTGACTCCATTTCTCAGGGATAGACACAGATTAACCAAGCTTAATGTACTAAACCAGGATAACAATACAATTAGTTTACTCTGATAAATAAAATTGCATAAAAAATCAAATGCACAATCTCTTCCTGGAGGTATAGAACAGAAATTGCCAAATTTCATATTTGAAGGATTCTTGGTGAGCATAAAATTAAATTAGGAAAGTTAATAATAGGAATTCAATATTTAATGTTGTCATATTAAATTAGCCTCAGAGATAGATCATCACAATAGGTTATGATCAAATCTCATGGCAGGACATCTACTCTGTGTGTAAGATAATTTGTAAGGCAATTTCATTCTAATACATTGAACATTAAAGTTACATTTTATCACTGAAGCCTCTCAAATTCTGCTTGCTTTCAGATTATTATTCTAGTTTGTTTTGGGGAAAAGTTTGGTCGACAATAAGGCTTTACCATAGCTGTTATTAGTGGTAGATATTTCTGTGTGACATTGATCATTTTGAGGTCTCTATTACAAATGTTATTTCTTTCATAAATAATAATTTACTTATCATTATTATTATCTATGTTTTAAGACTTAGACCATAGACATAGGTGTAACATTTCTGTAGAATAGGACAACAGAGTACTGGAATATGCTTATTATAGTAAGTTTTTAAGCTACGTTAATGATGAATAGATGGTATTTGAATTAATTTCTACAAAGCTTTTTGATTTCTACACAGCAATCCCATCTCAGTTTTCAAATATATAGTACATATATTTCAATGTAGTTTCATTACACTGTTATCTATACCATAAATAACACATTTTAATAAATATTATGTCCAGGAGAATGATGGTTATTTAAGATGATGATGTAATGACTTCATAAATTTCATACTAATGGTTTCTTACCATAACTCTATGACTCAGGTTACTGAGCCCATTCCACAGAGGAGGAAGCTGTGTTAATCTAAGTTTGATGTTATTCTTAAGATCAGTGAAGTAAATTAAGAGGGTGTGTCTGGACGTAAATTTAGGATTTATGATGGTAAAGCCTACATATTTTTCACATTTTGTGTTTCCTGTCTTAAAGGTACAAAAAAAACACTGCTGAGTAGTATGTCATATTGTTCTCTGAAATATTTTATCAAAACTCTTTTCATCTACAGTTCTTTATATATTCTTTATTCCACAAGAATTTAGCCTATCTTCTATTTTTGTAGCTTACATGTCTAAATAGATTAAATACTTCAATGATATTGAAATTTATATTACCACTTTTAAGAAACTGAAATCATGTTATGGACTACAGGAAAGAAAATTCCCAAATGTCATATTTATATAAAAATATGCCTACGTACATATACATGTTACATACCAGCACATCTAAATATGTGTTTTTAAGTACCAGATTTTCTTGCTAAATTCCACTCAGGGGTGGAATATATGCTTTCATACTTGGCTGAGATTAAGAATAAGAAAACTGGAAGACTTAGAAGTTGGTCCATTTGAAACCAGAGATAGAAGGCTTAAAAAAAATCTACCCAGTCTCTTAGAGAAGCAATAAGGATATTTATTATGTCCTACAGTTCTTGGTGGTGGGAGAAAAGGGCTCTGTGATAAATAGATAAATTTAAATTTAAAATATGCTTCACCGGAATTAAACAAAAGCATTTATTTTATACTTCACACACACAATAATAAACAAAAATAAAAATGTCATGCTCTCTTAGATACCCAAGAAGCAGACTCTGGGATTAAGTGTAGAAAAAGTCTATTGAGGAGTGCTTCTCAGGAGCACATGCAGAGGAGTGAGGAAAGAGAGATTTTGAACTGTGATGTTGTGACAATAAAGGCCTCCACTGATCAGGGTATCCGAGTCCAGGTGGCCCTTCAGAAATATCCTAAATAGCAGGTTGGGTTTTTTGTCTTCAATATTGTTCTCAATATTGACTTGAGAAGGGATTAGCCTTGGGACAGGCAGCTACTTATAGCATAGTGAAATATATGCCTGAATGTTGGAGAATTTCTGCAGCACATTATGGCATCTACCAGAGTCCATTTTTGTGCAGATCTGGTGCATATGTTTTATACAAAGGTAAAATCCATCTGAAAATTTGCAGAATCTTGATTGCTCTTTTCCTTAATCCCTCTAAAGTTATCATATCTGGCATGGTAGCTATAGTGGGTTACTATGTGTTTTGCAGAGTTAACAATAATATATACTATAGTCTTCTGAAATGTATCTGGTTTTTATGAGTGTCTGACAGATCCTTTCATAGATAATAAATTAATTCATGATATAATATGAATTTACATGTTTTTAGGTGTTTAAGGGCATTAATTTCTGCTTTAGGATGGGATTTTAAAAAATCATTACATTGTGAGCTGATAGTTTGGCAGATTCATATCCTTCTGCTTGACCTCTCTTATATGATAGTTGTTATCTACAGGCCAAGGAGCAACTGTGGGAGGTTTACCAATGACCCTGTATACCCACTCCAGGTATACATTTGGGAACTAGTGAAATGACCATTGAATGGGCCCATGGACCTAGCAGAATCAATGATACTTAGAATTAAGCTAAGATTCCATTTACCACCTGTTCCAATATGTTTTGACTCTAAGAGGGATGCCATCATGATTATTTGATTCTGCAGAGTTCAATGTCAACTTGGCCTCTGTTTTTCAATAGTTCTTGAAATGTCTGTGTATTCCTCTTTTTCTACAGCATTTTTAACCAAGTGAATGGTCAGTGGGAGGACTGGATGAATCATAACTACATACACTTGTATTACAGTTTCCTTCCTTCTGGACACTTGGCCTTTCCATCAGTCAGTGCTTTTCCAGATCTAAAAACTGGCTCAAGTTCAGAATTGAAGGAAGGATAATTATTTTTTATTACAGCAGCTGTCCTCTACCCCCAGATCATCCATAATTTATAATTTTGATTATATATATTGAGCAATAACTTCGTTGGCTGTCCCTATGACATTTTTATTATAATAACCATCTTCATATCTGTCTGCACATCTGTGCCCACTGGCTGCCATTTTGACCTTGTTGTTCTTATTGATGATATGGCACCACCTGGCCTCTACTACGTTGAGATCTTACCACCCCCTTTTGGTATCAGGAAGTCAGTATAGCAGTATCATCTCTTTTATTTTTTATTATTCTTATATTGTCTCTTATTAACATTTAATTTCTAGAGTTTTAGAAACATTTGTATAGGCTAGGTAAGAATTAAAATCAGATAAATGCCACTTATAATTGTGTTATCCACATATGCAGTTTTCACTCCTTACCCTTATTTTACTATTGAGCCTCTATTATTCTATAAACACTGATCTGAAAAAGGTCACCAGTGATCTCAGTGTTATAAATCTAATGGATTTAAAAATCTTCACATAATCAGACCTTGAAGCACTATTGATTATCTTTTTATTTTGTATTTTAGTTTTTTATTACAATAGGTTTTTGAGGAACAGGTTGTGTTTGGTTACATAAGCTTCTTAATGGTGATTTCTGAAATTTCGGTACACCCATCACCAGAACAGCATGCCCTGAACCTAATGTGTAGTTTTTCATCCCTTGCCACTGCCAACCCTGTCCCGAGTCCCCCAAATCCAATGTACCATTCTTATGCCTTTGCGCCCTCATAGCTTAGCCCGCATATGAGTGAGAACATATGATCCTTGGTTGTCCATTCCTGAGTTACTTCACTTAGCATAAGTCTCCAAATCCATATAGTTTGCTGCAAATGCTCTTATTTTGTTCCTTTTAAAGCCAAGCAGAATTCCATGGGGTGTGTGTGTGTGTGTGTGTGTGTGTGTGTATGTGTGTGTGTGTATACATATGTACATATATATAACATTTTCTTTATCTACTCATTGATTGATGGGCATTTGGGCTGGTTCCATATTTTTTCAATTGCAAGTTATGTTGTTATAAACATTCATGTGCAAGTATCTTTTTCTTAAAATGGTTTATTTTCCTCTGGGTAGTTATCTGATAGTGGGATTGCTTGATCAAATGGTAGATGTACTTTTAGTTATTTAAGGACTCTCCACACTGTTTTTTATAGTGGTTGTACTAGTTCACATTCCCAACAACAATGTAAAAGTGTTTCCTTTTCACCACATCCACGTCAACATCTATTATTTTTTCATTTTTTGATTATGGCCATTCTTGCAGGACTGAGGTGGTATTGCATTGTGATTTTGATTTGCATTTCCTTGATAATTAGTGAGGTGAAACATTTTTCCATATGCTTGTTGGCCTTTTGTATATCTCCTTTTGAGAAGTGTATATTCATGTCCTTAGCTCACTTTTTGATGGGATTGTTTGGTTTTTTCTTGCTGATTTGTTTGAGTTCTTTATAGATTGTAGATATTAGTCTTTTGTCAGATGTATAGATTACGAAAATTTTCTCCCACCCTGTGGGTTGTCTACTTACTCTGCTGATTATTTCTTTTGCTGTGCAGAGCTTTTCAGTTTAATTAAGTCTCATCTATTTATCTTTCTTTTTATTGCATTTGCTTTTGGTTGCTTGGTCATGAACTCTGCCTAAGCCAATGTCTAGAAGGAGTTTTCTAATGTTACCTTCTAGAATCTTTATTGTTTCACGTCTTAGATTTAAGTCTTTGATCCATCTTGAGTTGAATTTTGTATAAGGTGAAAAATGAAGATCCAGTTTCATTCTTCTACAGATGGCTTGTCAATTATCCCAGCATTATTTTTTGAATTGGGTGTCCTTTACACACTTTGTGTTTTTGTTTGCTTTGTCAAAGATCGCTTGGCTGTATTTGGCTTTATTTCTGGGTTCTCTATTCTGTTCCATTGTTTTATGTTCCTATTTTTATACCAGTATCATGCTGTTTTGGTGACTATAGACTTATACTATAGTTTGAAGTCAGGTAGTGTGATGCCTCTTTTGGCTTAGTCTTGTTTTGGCTATGCAAGCTTTTTTTTTTTTTTTGGTTCTATATGAATTTTAGGATTTTTTTCTGGTTCTGTGAAGAATGATGGTGGTATTTTGATGGGAATTGCATTGAATTTGTAAATCATTTTCAGCAGTATAGTCATTTTCACAATACTGATTCTACCCATCCATGAGCATGGGGTGTGTTTCCATTTGTTTGTGTTGTCTATAATTTCTCTCAGCAGTGTTTTGTAGTTTTCTTTGTAGAGGTCTTTCATGTCTTTGGTTAGGTATGTTCCTAAGTATTTTCTTTTCTTTGCATCTACTGTGAAAGGAGTTGAGTTCTCGATCTGATTATCACTTTGGTGATACAGCAGTGCTACTGCTACTTGGTGTACAGCAGTGCTACTGCTACTTGGTGTACAGCAGTGCTACTGATTTGTGTACATTAATTTCATATCCTGAAACTTTGCTGAATTTATCAGTTCTAGAAGCTTTATGTATGAATCATTAGGGTTTCCTAGGTATAAAATCATATCATCAGCAAACAGCAACAATTTTACTTCCTCTTCACTATTTTGGATGCCCTTTATTTCTTTTTCTTGTCTGATTGCTCTGGCTAGGACTTCCAGTACTATGTTGAATAGAAGTGGTGAAAGTGCACATCCTTGTCTTCTTCAAGTTCTCACAGGAAATGCTTTCAATTTTTCCTCATTCAGTATAATGTTGGTTGTGGGTTTGTCATAAATGGCTTTTATTACCTTAAGGTATTTCTGTTCTATACTGATTTTGCTGAGACTTTTAATCATAAAGGCATGCTAAATTTTGTGAAATTTTTTTCTGCATCTATTGAGATAATCATTTTGTTTATAATGCTGTTTATGTGGTGTATCACATTTATTGACCTACATATGTTAAACAATCCCTGCATCCCTGGTATGAAACCTCCTTGATCACGGTGGATTATCTTTTGATATGCTGTTGGATTCAGTTTGCTAGCAGTTTGTTGAGGATTTTTGCATTTATGTTTATCAGATATTTGTCTGTAGTTTTCTTTCTTTTTTTCTTTTTTTGTGATATCCTCCCCTGGTTTTTGTATTATGGTGTTACTGGCTTCATAGAACGATTTAGGAAGGATTCCTTCTTTTTCTGTCTCTATTTGGAATATTGTCAATAGGATTAGTACCAATTCTTCTTTGAATGTCTGATAGAATTCAGGTATGAATCCATCTAGTCCTGGACTTTTTTTGGTTGGAAATTGTTTTATTAATATTTCAATCTCACTGCTTGTTCTTGGTCTATTCAGAGATTCTATATATTCCTGGTTTAATCTAGGAGGGTTGTATATTTCAAAAAAAAAAATTATTTATTTCCTTTAGATTTTCTATTTTATGCACATGAAGGTGTTCATAGTGGCCTTGGATAATCTTTGGTATTTTTGTGGTATCAGTTGTAATATCTCCCATTTCATTTCTATTTGGGCTTACTGGATCTCTCTTCCTTTCTTGATTATTCTTGCTAATGGTCTATCAATTTTATTTTCTCAAAGAGCCAGCATTTTGTTTCATTTATCTTTTTTTTTGTTTAATTTCATTTAATTCTGCTCTGATCTTCGTTATTTCTTTTCTTTGCTGGGTTTGGGTTTGGATTGTTCTTATTTCTCTAGTTCTGTGAGGTGTGACGTTAGATTGTCTATTTGTGTTTTTCAGACTTTTTGATGGAGGCATTTAGTGCTGTGAACTTTTCTCTTAGCACTGCTTTTGCTGTATCCCAGAGGTTTTGATAGGTTGTGTTGCTATTATCATTCAGTTCAAAGAATTTTTCAATTTCCATCTTGATTGCACTTTTGACCCCATGATTATTGAGGAGTTGGTTATTTAATTTCCATGTATTCTCATTGTTTTGAGGGTTACTTTTGGAGTTGATTTTCAATTTTATTCCACTGTCGTCTGAGAGAGTACTTGATATACTTTTAATTTTCTTAAATTTATTGATACTTGTTTTGTGGCCTATCATATGGTCTATCTTGGAGAATGTTCCATGTGCTGATGAATAGAATTTATATTCTACAGTTATTGGGCAGAATGTTCTGTAAATAGCTTTTAAGTCCATTATTTGTGGGGTATATTTTAAGTCCATTGTTTCTTTGTTGACCCAGTCTTGATGACCTGTCCAGTGCAGTCAGTGGAGTATTGAAGTCCCCCATGATTATCGTGTTGCCATCTATCTCAATTCTTAGGACTAGTAATAATTGTTTTATAAATTTATGAGCTCCAGTGTTAGATGCATATATATTTAGAATGTTGATATTTTCCTGTTGGACTATTCCTATTACAATTACATAATGTCCCTCTTTGTCTTTTTTAACTGCTGTTGCTTGAAAGTTTGTTTTGTCTGATATATATAAGAATAGTTAAACCTGCTTGCTTCTGGTGTCCATTTGCATGGAATATCTTTTTCCACCCCTTTATCTTAATTTTATGTGAGTCCTTATGTGTTGGGTGAGACTACTGAAGACAGTAGAAACTTGGTTGATGAATTCTTATTCATTCTGCCATGCTGTATCATTAAATGGGGCATTTAGGCCATTTACATTCAATGTTAGTACTGAGATGTGAGGGACTATTCTATTCATCACGCTATTTGTTGCCTGAATACGTTTTGTTTTTTTTCATTGTGTTATTGTTTTATATGTCCTGTGAGACTTATGCTTTAAGGAGATTCTATTTTGGTGTATTTCAAGGATTTGTTTCAAGATTTAGAGCTCCTTTTAGCAATTCTTGTAATGCTGGTTTAGCAGTGGTGAATTCTCTCACCATTTGTTTGTCTGGAAAGGAACTGTATCTTTTCTTCGTTACAAAGCTTAGTTTCACTGGATACAAAATTCTTGGCTGGTAATCGTTTTGTTTTAGGAGGCTAAAAGTAGGACCCCAGTCCCTTCTGGTTTGTAGTGTTTCTGCTGAGAAATCTGCTGTTAATCTGATAGGTTTTCCTTTATCGATTACCTGATTCTTTTGCCTCACATCTCTTATTTCCTTCGTCTTGACTTTAGTTAACCTGATTACTATGTGCCTAGGTGATGATCTTTTTGTGATGAATTTCCTGGGTGTTCATTGAGCTTCTTGAATGTGGATATCTAGATGTTTAGCAAGACCAGAGAAGTTTTCCTCTATTATTCCCTCAAACATATTTTCCAAACTTTTAGATTTCTCTTATTCCTCAGGAACACCAATTATTCTTAGGTTTGGAGGTTGAACATAGTCCTAAACTTTTTGGAGACTTTGTTAAGTTTTTAAAATTCTTTTTTCTTTGTCTATGATAGATTGAGTTAATTCAGAAGCCTTATCTTAGAGTTCTTTATTCTGCTTGTTTAATTCTACTGCTGAGACTTCCCAGTGCGTTTTGCATTTCTCTGTGTGTTATTGATTTACAGAAGTTGTGATTGTTTTTCATTTATGCTCTCTATTTCACTGAAGAATTTTCCTTTCACATTATGAATCATGTTTTATGATTTAAGTTGGACTTCACCTTTCTCTCATGCCTCCTTGATTAGCTTAATAATTGAACTTCTGAACTATTTTTCTGGCAATTCTGATATTTTGTTTTAGGTTGGATCCATTGCTGGTGAGCTGGTATGATCTTTAGCGGGTGTCAAAGAACCTTGTTTTGTCATATTACTAGAATTGTTTTTCGGGTTCCTTCCCATTTTGGTAGACTATGTCTTAAGGAAGATCTGAAATTCAAGGGGTGCTGTTCAGATTATTTTGTCCCACAGGGTACTCCCTTGATGTTGTGTTCTCCCCCTTCCCTTAGGAATGGGGCTTCCTGAAAGGTGAACTTAGCAATTGTTTTGCTCTTCTGGGTCTAGACACCCAGCAGAGCTACCAGGCTCTGGGCTCGTAGTGGGCAGTGTCTGCAAAGAGTCCTAGGATGTGATCTGTCTTCAGGTCTTGCAGCCATGGATACCAGCACAGTTTTTTGGTGTTGGATCATAAAGAACATTCACGATTGATCTGAAAATTGCTGGTGCTTTCCCAACAAGATATTCTTTATTGTTTTGTAAACAGTGTCCCCCTTTTCATCCTACAGAAATATTTGCTAGTGGCTTTCCTGACCTTCATAGAATACCCACTTTATATTGCATTTATCTGAGCTTTCTTATTCCTACCTTCACCATTTTTTCAAAGTTTTTCTTGCATTTTTTACTTTGCCTTGGGTAGGCCATTGCTTTTTCTAAGGAGTCAATTTACCCATGTGTTAACACCAACCTTTTAGGGGGTCTGTATTAAAAGAGTGATTCCATATCAATGAACTCTGTCTTATCTAAATTTATATTTCAGAGCTATATTTCAGCTCTCAAGACCTTCCTCCATACACACTCTCCCAGCTCCTACTAATCCATGTTGAGTACGTCCCACTGATCTTAGAGTTTACAGTGCCTTTCCTCACTTAATATACCTAGCTCTACCTTGGCTCTGTTACATAGCAATTTTTTTTTTCAGTAGGGGTCTTGCTCTCTCACCCAGTCTGGAGTATGGTGGTGTAATCATGACTCTGCAGCCTTGACCTCCTGGGCTCAAATGATCTTTCCACCTCAGCCTCCAGAGTAGCTGAGACTATAGGCATGTGCCACCATGCCTAGGTAATTCATATATATATATAAAATATTATTACATAAATATATATTTATTAATATAAATATATAAAAATATATAAAGACTATACACAAATATATGTTTCTTTTTTTTTTTATAGAGATGGAGTCTCACTATATTGCCTAGGCTTGTCTTAAATTCCTAAACTCAAGGAATCCTCCTGCTTTGGCCTCGCAAAGTGTTGGGATTATAGGCATGAGCCACTGCTCCTGGCCTACATTGTGATTTGACCTTAGTGTTTGCTCAGATGGCTAACAATGAAGGTGGCTGTAAGTTCAGAGTAGAGTGCCAGTTTTCCTGCAAAACCGAAGCCTCTTCATTGTCTTTAGGCAGGAAGGGAGTGTTAATCTTTAATAGAGAGAAGTATAGCTACTTTTGTTGGCCTAGAAGGTTTAAGAAATATGAATTTTCAAGTCCTGGAGTATATTAACACATATGCCTCCATTCTAAGTCTCAGAATCCA